>NC_000021.9:43622065-43775961 GCF_000001405.40 Homo sapiens | reverse complement strand
AATTGATAGCCCGGAGCAGGGTGCGGTCCCTGCATGGACAGTCTCTGAGAGGAAACCCCAGGGATGAGGCGCTTCTGGTTTCAGGCAGGCAGGGTGATCGGGCGTCGCCGGCGATGGCGCAGGTGAGCAGCCGGCTCCGATCTCCACGGTGATCCGATAGCAAGCGGGTGGGAAGGGTCTGGCTAAACTGACTTAGCCAGGCTTCTTGCTAAAAGTGGATTTTACAAGGAAGTGCGCAGGTGGCCTAGGCGCTTCAGGAGCCCGACTACAGTTTGGCCAAGCAAGAATCTTTGTCAATATCCTCATCTAGTTCGGGAAAAAAATCATGAGAGAGAGTGCAAGAGGTCCCCAGTGATAAGGCACATGGGTTAAAAACTTAAGTGTATCTGCATAAAAGGTCCACAGGTTTCTTTACATGCTTCCGATTCTAGCACTGTTTCAAACTGTAAGTCTAAATAAAAAGTTAAAACACAGAAAAACAAGATAAAAACCGGGCTGGGTTGCAGATGGCAACCTTCCCTGTGTCTCGGTTTCCTCGTCTGTAAAATGGACGTCCTGTTGCTCTGCGCCTGCCAGAAGATTCTGGAGGGGCTGAAATGAGCAGGTCATCTGTGCAAGAAGCCCCCTCCGGTGGAGCACAGGCCAGGCCCGCCTCGCTGTCATGGTTGGTGACCGACGGGATGCCCCAAGCAAGAACAGGTCCAGGCGATGCTGAGGCCTGTGTTTTTTTTTTTTGTTTTTGAGACTCAGTCTCACTCTTGCCCAGGGTGGAGTGCAGTGGCAC
This sequence comes from Homo sapiens, assembly GCF_000001405.40. NCBI lineage: Eukaryota > Metazoa > Chordata > Mammalia > Primates > Hominidae > Homo > Homo sapiens. The sequence goes on along the minus strand of NC_000021.9, from coordinate 43,775,177 downwards.
AATCTCGGCCCACTGCAACCTCCGCTTCCCAGGTTCAAGGGATTCTCCTGCCTTAGCCTCCCGAGTAGCTGGGATTGCAGGTGCTCGCCACCACGCCCAGCTAATTTTTGTATTTTTAGTAGAAACGGGGTTTTGCCATTTGGCTAGGCTGGTCTCAAACTCCTGACCTCAAGTGATCCGCCCACCTCAGCCTCCCAAAGTTCTGGGATTACATCCTTGAGCCACCGTACCCAGCTGGAACTGTTTTTTTCTACTTTATTATTAGGCTGACAGTTTAAATGTCCCTTCAGTTGTAAGAGACAATTGTGTGAAGAGCCAGTGTCAGAATCGTGTGTGTGCTCACATGCGTGCAAGTTACTCTAGCAGGAGGGAATCCAAGAAGCCACTGAGACATCCTCATTCTGTCCCTTCTGTCTAGGTGAGGTCCCAGCTTGAAGAGAAAGAAAACAAGAAGTTCCCTGTGTTTAAGGCCGTGTCATTCAAGAGCCAGGTGGTCGCGGGGACAAACTACTTCATCAAGGTAGAGTGTGGGCCTCAGGAGGGCCTGCCCCGAACGGGTGCTGGTAGGAAACCGCCTGTGCAGGCCCGGGCTGTGTGGTCTTAGGTGCTGGGGCGCCCTGTGGCTGCCCCCTGAGATAAGCATCCTACTGTGTGTGTCCATCGGCCTTTCAGGAGGACTAGGGCTTCTGGGGAGCTAAGAACCCCAAGGAAACAAGTGTGGGATGTGAGGCATCCCCTGCACATGCAGGAGAAGACAAGATTGTCTTCAGCTGGCTGCTAATGACCTGGAGGGGCGCAGCAAGGTGACTTGGGATCAGAGGCTTCGCTCACTCCGCTCTCTTCCCAGGTGCACGTCGGCGACGAGGACTTCGTACACCTGCGAGTGTTCCAATCTCTCCCTCATGAAAACAAGCCCTTGACCTTATCTAACTACCAGACCAACAAAGCCAAGCATGATGAGCTGACCTATTTCTGATCCTGACTTTGGACAAGGCCCTTCAGCCAGAAGACTGACAAAGTCATCCTCCGTCTACCAGAGCGTGCACTTGTGATCCTAAAATAAGCTTCATCTCCGGGCTGTGCCCCTTGGGGTGGAAGGGGCAGGATTCTGCAGCTGCTTTTGCATTTCTCTTCCTAAATTTCATTGTGTTGATTTCTTTCCTTCCCAATAGGTGATCTTAATTACTTTCAGAATATTTTCAAAATAGATATATTTTTAAAATCCTTACAGATTGCCTCCTTTGTTTTAGACTTTTTTCTTCGTCTGAACCACCCCGGGCAGGTCCTTCCCCTCGGGGGCATGGAGGGCGGAGAGACTGCCTGGCTCACACAGCAAGCAGGTGGTGGACCCAGGATTCACACCTGCCCACTCCGGCCCGCGTTCCTAACCACCACTCTTTACATGTTGGTGCTTTGACTCTTAGGTCCTGGCCCCAAGCTTCAGTTTCTCCCATAAAATAAAAGAGTGTGAGTAAATCCAATTCCAGAGCATAACTGGCTCCAGATCTCAGATACATTCACGCACTTTATGCTCTGGTACGGAGAGGCAGCCACACAGTGTCGTGCACGTGCAGAATAGCCTGCAGCCTCACTGAGTGCCCTGTGGTGCGGGAGGCTTCCCATGGAGCCACGTGGGCTTCTAAAGGGAGGTATCTTAGGAGAGCGTGGCTGTTTTTAAAAACACCTTCTAGTTTTCAACAGGGATTACTTCCCATTCATGGAATTGGTCCGGTGCCTTCCCAACTGTGATTCTATGTTAAATAGGACAGAAGAGGGAGCATCATACATGATAAGAGCTAAGACTGGGGGTGAAAGTCTCTGTGCACCGGGGTCATGATGTGAACGTGTTCCTGAGGGTGTCCTGAGCTGCGCTTTGCCTCCGAGGCGTCCGGCAGCGTATGCCAGAACTGCAGCTGCAGGGTTCAGGCTGTCCAGATCGTGGGGGATCTGTGAAGACTAAGGAGGGATCTACCAGTGAGTCCACAGAGCTTTGAAAGTGATGTTAGGAAATTCTGAATCAGGCCGGGCGCGGTGGCTCACACCTAGAATCCCAACACTTTGGGAGGCCAAGGTGGGTGGATCACTCTGAGGTCAGGAGTTCTAGGCCAGCCTGACCCACATGGTGAAACCCTGTCTCTACTAATAATAAAAAAATTAGCTGGGCGTTGTGGCAGGCGCCTGTAATCCCAGCTACTTGGGAGGCTGAGACGGGAGGATCACTTGGACTCGGGAGGTGGTGGGTGCAGTGAGCCGAGATCGTACCTCTGCACTCCAGCCTGGGTGGGTGACAGAGTGAGATCCTATCTCAAAAAAAAACCAAAAAGAAAACTGAATCATGGACTGTGTGTATTCTACACTCTTAACATGAACTCTGAGACTAAGCTTTTATAACATGCAAAACAGAATCAAGCAGTTTTGCATTGAAAGGAAAACCCGTTGTATTTCCCACTTGAGAATTTCCAGCGGAAGGCAGGTGGGGGAGGGGCTGTTTAGGGGACCACGCAGCGGGAGAGCCATCCCCAACAGGAAGGGAGCGGTTGTCTGCAGGAGCAGTGACCAGGAACTCCTATGGGGCACCTGGGTTGGGGGAAGCTGGATTTAGGGTTAGAAGCTTGTGTGTAAACAGGAAATATCAGTGTAAAACAGAAAATAAAATATGTAATTAATGCTGTGGTCTGGTTTAAATACAAGTTGACAAAGGGATCAAAATTACAGGCTCACGCCTGTAATCCCAACACTTTGGGAGGCTGAGGTGGGTGGATCACTTGAGGTCAGGAGTTCCGGGACCAGCCTGACCAACATGGTGAAACCCCATCCCTACTGAAAAAAATAAAATAAAATACAAAAAACTAGCCAGGCAGGTGCCTGTAATCCCAGCTACTCAGGAGGCTGAGGCAAGAGAATAGCTTGAACCCAGGAGGCAGAGGAGGTTGCAGTGAGCCGAGATTGCACCACTACACTCCAGCCTGGGCAACAGAGTAAGACTCCGTTTCTCTCTCTCTCTCTATATATATATATAATTTATATGAAGTTGTCAATTTCATCCACACGCTGTCTGCTTCCTTAGGAGCATCAACAGCAGCAGCTTGGAAATCTGATGAATTTCACTACCCGCTGACAAAAGTCCCTTGTTACCGAACCCCCCGCTGGTTTAACCGAACCCCCCGCTGGTTTAACCCTGCCCTCTGAGAGTGCATTAGGAGCTCTGATATGGTGTGGCTGTGTCTCCACCCAAATTTCATCTTGAATTATAGCTCCCATAATCCCGTGTCATGGGAGGGACCTGGTGGGAGGTCATTGAATCATGGAGGTGGTTACCCTCATGCTGTTCTCGTGATAGTGAGTGAATCCTCATGAGATCTGATGGTTTCATAAGGGGCTTTCCCCGCTTTTGCTGGCACGTCTCCTTCCTGCCACCATGTGAAGAAGGATGTGTTTCCTTCCCCTTCTGCCATGATTGTGTTTCCTGAGGCCTCCCTAGCCATGCTGAACTGTGAGTCAATTAAACCTCTTTCCTTTATAAATTATCCAGTCATGGATATGTCTTTATTAGCAGCATGAGAATGGACTAATACAGGAGCTCAAAGTGGATGAGGCACGTAGTAGGGGAAGAATGAAGTCAGCTCGGACTCCCGTGGGGCTCACAGCATGGGGGCGGTGACTGTCACTGTCACGGATGTGAAATTGTACCAAGTGCCCTAAGGGAGGGTCCTGCTGGGGGTAAACGGGGATCTGACAGAGGTGCAGAAGGCTTCTGGGCAGAGGCCATGGCCAAGTTCAGACCTGAGGCTTGAGGAGGAGGAGCTAGAGGCTGAGGTGGGTGAGACCGTCCTGGCGCCAGCAGCAGAGAGTGGGGAGTCCAGGTTGGGCAAGAGCATGGCGCATTCTGGGAGGCGGCTGAATGCCTCATAGCCACGACGTCACGGCAGCTGCCCTGGAGGGGCCCTGAGTCCTGGGACAGAGCAGGAGCAGAGCCCCTGGTGTGCCCAGCAGTCTGGAGGGCGGGACGGGCTACCCTGAATGAATTAAGACGCTGGATCTCCAGGACACTGATGGCTTAGGTCCTTCCCCATCCTGGAACATGAACCAGAAAACAGAGGCCTACGTGCTGGGACCTGCCATGAGCCACTTCCCCTCCAGACCCCTGAGAGCCAGAAAGAAAACGTGGAGGTCTTACTCATGGTTCGTTCAGGCATGTTTCCCCAAAACTGCCTCGGCAATGTTAAAAATGGCTTGAGCTTTGGGAGGCCGAGGTGGGAGGATCACTTGAGCTCAGGAGTTTGAGACCAGCCTAGGCAACAGAGTGAGACCCCTATCTCTACAAAAAATAAAAAATTAGCCAGGTTTGGCGACACACACTTGTAGTCCCAGCTACTTGGTAGGCTGAGGTGGGAGGATCATATCATTTGAGCCGGGAGGTCGAGGCTGCAGTGAGCCATCATCACACCACTGAACTCTGGCCTGGGTGACAGAGAGAGATCCTGTCTTGAAGATAATAATAATAATAAATAAATAAATGAAAACGGCAAGGGGAGCCAGGGCAGCAGAGGCCTACAACCCCCTCCAGGGGCAGCCCCTCTCCTGCAGTCCGCCCTACAGCCTGGGCGCCTGCTCAAGTCACAGGTAGGACGGGAAGGTGGAGGGGTGGGTGCGCAAAGTCCAGAACGTGCAGGAGCCCAGGACGGCCTGGCCTGAGCTCCCCGTTTGTAACGCGGGCCCCGTCCTGAAAGGGAACACCGCTTCCACACGCTGGACACCAAACGCTGCTTGAGTTGCTCCTGTGAGTGCTGCCTGTTTCCACTGGGGCCCTGGCTGATGGAAATGCACTCAACAGATGCTAGGCAAGGAACCGCCCCACGCTGAGAGCGCAGACCCTCACTCTGAAGCTCCTGAGGCAGGCATGCTCCCTGGGCTGAGCAGGCAGCTGCGGGTCCCCAGCCAGCTGTCACTCACTCTCGAGTGACAGTGTCATCTTGGTTGGGTCTCCTACCCTCCACCCCGAATTCTCAGCGAGCATCACTTTTCCCAAAGCTGGTAGGGTTTTTTTTTGTTTTTTTGTTTGTTTGTTTTTGAGATGGAATTTCACTCTTGTCACCTGGGCTGGAGTGCAATGGTGCTATCTTGGCTCACTGCAACCTCCACCTCCCGGGTTGAAGTGATTCTCCTGCCTCAGCCTCCTGAGTAGCTGGGATTACAGGTGCCTGCCACCATGCCTGGCTAATTTTTGTATTTTTAGTAGAGACCGGGTTTCACCATGTTGGCCAGGCCAGTCTCGAACTCCTGACCTCAGGTGATCCACCCCCTTCAGCCTCTCAAAGTGCTGGGACTATAGGCGTGAGCCCCCACTCCAGGCCTGGGTTTTGTTTTTTTGAGACAAGGGTCTCACTCTGTTGCCCAGGCTGGAGTGCAGTGGGGCCACCATAGCTCACTGCAGTCTCGACCTCCCCTAGCTCAGGTGATCCTCCTGCCTCAGCCTCCTGAGCAGCTGGAACTACAGATGCATGCCACCTTGTTCTGCTAATTATTTGTGTTTTTTGTAGCAACGGGGTTTCGCCATGTTTCCTAGGCTGGTCTTGAACTCCTGAGCTCAAGTGATCCACCCACCTCAGCCCCAAAATGTGGTAGGCTTACAGACGTGAGCCGCCGCGCCCTGTGCCTGCAGGTTTTGCTGGCCATGTGTTCCCGATCTGGCAGAACAGAGCAGCCAGGCTCTGTGTTAGCTGAGGTTCTGTCTGTGTAGACAGGGTCTGGGTGGGGGGAGCCAGGCAAAGCCAACAGTATCCTTACCAGCCCAAAGGAGCTGGGAGATGCCACCACAGCCTTACTCAGTCTCTCCTCTAACTGCTGTCAGGAAACGTGCGTTATGAAGCAGGGCCAACTGATGGAGATGAGAATAGATTCCCACTAGATTAGAGACAGAATAACATAATTGGATGCAAATTGTGCAAAAGATAAAATTGTAGGCTTGAGTAATCTAATCATTCCACTACCAGGTAGAGCGTCTAAGATTTCCTAATTGAGCTGCCCAGAAGCGGTGTTAATTCCCATTTTCTATCCCACAAAAGGCAGGGTCAGGACTCCAACATTTGGATGCTCAGAGCTCGGAGAGCTCCCCACGGCACAGCCAGGCCCTGGTTGGGCACAGTCCCTGACCATCGACTGAGCTCACACTCATTCCTTTCCAGGTCGTCTCTCCCTCCTCCCTCCTTCCCACATCTGAATGTCCTCGTGCCAGGCACCCTGCAGGTCTGCTTGCAGAGCGAGGCAGGCATGGCCGCTCTCTAAGAGGCTTACAGTGTCATAGGTGGCCAGGGATGGGCCGGGCCTTCCCTGCCCAGATCCTTCTCCCCACCTCCCTTAAGGGCGAGAAAAACTATAGAATTTCGCACAGATGGAAAAGACACACTTCCCAGGCTCCTTTGCAGCACGGGTAGCCACATAACCCGGGGATGCTAATGCAGGCCCAGATCAAGGAGCGGTGCGGAGCTGTGGTGGGGACACTGGGATCTGGGGGCAGGGAGCGCTGTGGACAACGTGGGGCAGGGAGAGCTACGTGTGCGGAGCTGCCTTTAGAGAAAGCTGACCGCAAGGCTGACTGTGGGGGTGGGGAGGGGGTGAGCCCCTGAGAGCCGGCTGGAAGGACAAGAGCGGGGCTCGGGGCTGCTCAAGAGGCTGCTGCCCGGCCTGGGAGCAATGGGAGGGGCAGTTCAGACTAAGCAGAGCTGACTCGGCCACTGTTGGCCCTTCTTCCTTCCCTATTCTCCCCCATGGCTACGCTCACCTTTGTGCTCCTTGAGAAAATCACAGGACGCAGATCCTAAGGGCTGCTGAGTCATGCCTGCCCGGCCTCGTGTGTCTGGGTGCGGCCCTGAGCCCAGGGATAAGAAAGAATTGCAGCCTGAATGAATGTACAACTGGCTAAATGTGGCCGGCCTCTGCGCCCACACTCCAGGGGTGCACATGTCCCTGACGGGGTTTCTGGCACGGGCAGGATGACCTCTTTTGGGGGTACAGGGTGTGGTCTCAGCCAGGGGGCCCCCTCCATGGCCCGACCACAGCCCTGGCCAGGGCGCTGCCGACGCAGCCTTGCCCAGGAGTGTGTCGTGAGGCCTGGGTATGACACAGAGTCAGGGCGGAGGGGGTGTGTCGAGAGGCCAAGATGCTGGTGGGGTCAGTGGCAGCCAGAGACGTAGGCAGACAGAGCTCAGGGATGGTGAGGCCTGGCCCACTTTCTGGGTGGAGAGGCCACGGTCTCCATCAGAGACTAGGGTGCCAGCAGGGGAGGCAGCGTGGCCTGTGCCGTTTCCGTAGGGAAACCTGAGGCAGGGCCCAGGGCAGCACATTTTGTGGCTACAAGCCGGAGACGGGGGAAGAAGGCAAAGGACTCGCAACTCCCACTCAGGGAGGGATCAGCCGCCGTGTCCCGCCTCCAGGAAGGGTAGCACCGAGGCAGGGAGGGTCATGGGGCAGAGCACAGGGTGCCCTCACTCAGAACACTGAGGCACAGACTGTGCATGGGGGCCCCATCCCCCCAACAAGGGAAAGTGAAGACTGGACCCTCAGAGGCCACACAGTCAGGCCAGCCTCGGGGTCGCTGTGCTGCTCCTGAGAGTAACAAGGGCGTGAATAACTAGATGTCTGGACACATCTGTGTGTGTGTATGCTGTGTGTCCACGAGTGTGTGTGCCTGTGCATCCGTGTAGTGTGTGTGTTCGTGCATGTGTGCCTGTGCTTCCGCGTGTGCGTCCGCATGTATATGTGGGTGCGTTTGCGTGTGCGTGCATCTGCGTGTGTATGTGTGCGTCTGTGTGTGCATCCGCGTGTGTGTGCATCCCTGTGTGCGTGTGTGTGCGCCCGCATGTACGCATGTGTTTGCATGTGTGTGCCCGCAAGGTTCCCATGTCCAGACGCAGAGAGGGTGGTGAGGAGGCTACACACACAACTGCTTTCTCAGGGCCATGGGTGTGAACTTGGGGCCACTAGCCTTCTGCGTCACTTTCACACTGTTCAGAGAAAATCAGCCAGGTGGTGTCTGTGTAAACAATCAGCACAGCCAGGCGGACGCGTCCTTCCAGTGAGCTCAGGGACCCGGCCCGGCTCTGAGGGAGGCCTATGATGCTGGGTCCGTGGAAGCCAGTTCCAGCCAGGCCATTCATCGTGACCTGTGAGGTCTTGGGAATCCCACCCGACCTCCGAGAGCCTGTAAAAAGGGGGCGTCATCCCAGTGTTGCTGGCTCGGCTGCTGACACCTGAGCATGCCCAGTGCACACTGGGCGTGAGCCTGCTCGCACCCCCAGGCCCTCCCCTTTCACAGAAAAATTTCCCAAGCCTGTTCAGTCTGCTCTTCCTTGGTGGGGGTCACAGGAGCTCAGGAAATTCACCACTTGCTGGATAAGGCACAATTTTCACGTTATTGAACCCAAAACATTTTTTTTTGAGATGTAGTCTCACTCTGTCGCCCAGGCTGGAGTGCAGCGGCACGATATCAGCTCACTATAACCTCTGCCTCCGGGGTTCAAGCTATTCTCCTGCCTCAGCATCCCGAGTAGCTGGGATTATAGGCGTGCACCAACACACCCAGCTAATTTTTGTATGTTTAGTAGAGACAGGTTTTCGCCATGTTGGCCAGGCTGGTTTTGAACTCCTGGCCTCAAGTGATCCGCCTGTGTTGGCCTCCCAAAGTGCTGGGATTACAGGCGTGAGCCACTATGCCTGGTCCTCAGACCCTCGCTTTGAAGCAGCTGTTGTCTTGGTCTCCAGGGTGTCAGCGGTCCTCTGCCTGGAGCAGCTTCACTGCGATCGATCGATCTCGTGGTCACACGGCCTCACAAGGCCTTCTTCTTACGAGTACACCAGGCCCTGGATTTAGGGTCCTCACCTGGGGCGACTGCATTTTATGTAACTAATTACATCCACAAAGACCTCATTTCCAAACAAAGTCACATTCTTTTTTTTTTTTTTTTTTTCCAATTGAGATGGGGTCTCACTCTGTCACCCAGGCTGGAGTCCAGTGGTGCAATCTCGGCTCACTGCAGCCTCCGCCCATCCCCTGCCTCTCCCCCCCGGCCCCCGCCCAGGCTCAAATGAGCCTCCTACCTCAGCCTCCTGAGCAGCTAGGACTACAGGCACATGCTACCATGCCTGGCTACTTTTTTTTTTTATTTGAAATGGAATTTTCGCTCTTGTTGCCCAGGCTGGAGTGCAATGGCACGATCTTGGCTCACTGCAACCTCTGCCTCCCAGGTTCAAGTGATTCTCCTGCCTCAGCCTCCCTAGTAGCTGGGATTACAAGCATGTGCCACCACGCCAGGCTAATTTTTTGTATTTTTAGTAGAGACGGGGTTTCTCCATGTTGGTCAGGCTGGTCTTGAACTCCCGACCTCAGGTGATCCGCCCGCCTCGGCCTCCCAAAGTGCTGGGGTTACAGGGGTAAGCCACCACGCCCGGCATCATGCCTGGCTACTTTTTTCCATTTTCAGTGTAGACGGGGTTTCACCATGTTGCCCAGGCTGGTCTTGAACTCCTGAGCTCAAGCAATCCACCCACCTCGGCTTCCCAAAGTCCTGGGATTACAGGCATGAGCCACTGCACCTGGCCTAATAAAGTCACATTCTGAAGTGCAGGGTGGACGTGAGTTTTTGCAGGACATCAATGAATTTGGGGGGACACCTGTCCAGGCTTAGGGTGGACCTTTTTGCAGGACATCATTGAATTTGGGGGGGACACCTGTCCAGGCTCAGTGTCCTCAACAGTGCTGCCTTTATAATCACAGCCTGAACTGTACCCTTCAAATGGCTGAGTCATATGGAATGAATTGTAACTCAATAAAGCTGTTACCAGAAAAAACAGAAATAAGAGCCAGGAGTGGTGGCTCACGCCTGTAATTCCGGCACTTTGTGAGGCCGAGGAGGAAGGATCACTTGAGCCCAGGAGTTCGAGACCAGCCTGGGCAACATGGCAAGACCTCATCTCTACAAAAAAATTGTTTAATGAGCTGGACGTGGTGGTGTGCCTGTGGTCCAGCTACTCGGGAGCCTGAGGCGGGAGGATGGCTTGAGGCCAATTGCTTGGACAGAAGTTGCTGTGAGTTGAGATCACACCACTGCACTCCAGCCTGGGTGACAGAGTGAGAACCTGTCTGGAAAAAAAAAAAAAAATAGAAATAAGGAAAGAGAAGTCTGTCTCCCATCCCTTCCCCCAGCTCTTTGGCAGGGGCACGGGCTTGGTGGGAGCTGGCATGGATGGGGGCATGAGCAGGGCAGTGCGCAGGGGCCTGGGCCGGCCTCGTGGAGGTGACGGCTGTTTCAGGGCCAGCCTGAGTCCGCACCTTGTGAGGGAATCTCCTCAATGCAGTAATTTAGGCAGAATTCCAGCTGGGGTGAGGTGGCCTGTAATCCCAGAGGCCTCCGGAAAGTGCAGCCTACCGGATGCTGGCCAGGCCCGGCCTGTCCCCACAAGTGTCTTGGAAAGGCCCTACCAGGGTGGAGGACACGGGTGGCAGCAAACCCTGAAGGTCAGTCCATCCCAGCGAGTGTGTGACAGGTGTTCACTGGGGCCAAAGGAAGACCCCGAGCCCCAGGGAGGTGTCAACAACCACACTCTGCTGGTGGTGTCCCCAGAGAAGCCCCGGGAGCCTAACTGCCCATGAGGTTCCTTCTCTCCCTTCCCAGCCTCCCTCCATCTGCCGTCCCCACCCCCACGCCACTGGAGCCCAGCCCCTTTCCTAGGAACCCAGATTTGAAGCCCTAAGCCAGCATGGCCTCAAGGGCAGGTCCTGGACTTGAGGCCGGCCTTTCCCACCCATCGGGGGAAGAAGGCCCAGCCAGAGTCCTCACAATGGCTGAGGCTTCAGGGCCGAGCATGTTTGCTGCTGGATATTTGGCTCAGACCCTCGGAGGGGGAGATGACCAAGCCAGCACATGCCCCACCCCTGGACACGCCACAGCAGTTCCAGCTTGGAGGCTAACCCACCCTGTTGTTGTCTGATGAACCCCAGTTCTAGGAAGGCCTCTCAGATTTTCAGCTCATCTATTGTTCCTTGTGTAAAGGCAGGTACTTACCCTAAATCCTGCCCTTAGGGCAAATGACTGGGATGCTGTCTGCTTCAACTGTCCAGCACATCCCTTCTGAACCACACGCACCCCTCCCCTACGGTACATAAGCCCTAGGCTTGGGGGTGATGGGTGGGCCCCAGACACAGACATGGCTTCTGTTCCGAAGTCCCTATTAAATGTTTCTTTCTGAGAAACTGGATTGGGCAGCTTCTTCTTCTTCTTCTTTTTTTTTTTTTTTTTGAGATGGAGTCTTTGCTCTGTTTCCCAGACTGGAGTGCAGTGGTGCGAACTCGGCTCACTGCAACCTCCACCTCCGGGGCTCAAGCGATTCTCCTGCCTCAGCCTCCCGAACAGCTGGGATTACAGGCGCCCGCCACCATGCCCAGCTAACTTTTGTATTTTTAGTAGAGATGGGGTTTCACCATGTTGGCCAGGCTGGTCTTGAACTCCTGACCTCGTGATCCACCTGCCTCAGCCTCCCAAAGTGCTCGGATTACAGGGCTGAGCCACTGCACCTGGCCAAGGGCAGCTTCTTTCTTCGGCCTCTCTGCTTCCTTGAACTTCGGGATAGGTCTGCATAGGCCCCCACTGCTGCAGAACACACTCCATCCCTCGTCACCAGACGTGGTGGGCTGAATCATGGCCCTCAAAGAGGTCCACATCTTCATCCTCAGACCCTGTGAATTTGTGACCTTACCTGGCAAAAGGGACTTGCAGGTGGGATTAAATTCAGGTTCCTGAAATGAGAGATGACCCTAAATTATCTAGGTAGGTCCAAAGTCACACAGGGTCCTTCTAAGAGAAAGGGCGGAGGTCAGGGTCAGGGAGAGGTGGAAAGATGTGACACTACTGGCTTTGGTGATGGAAGGGGCCATAAGCAAGGGGATGCAGGCGCCCTCCAGATACTAAAAAAGGCAGGAAACGGATTCAGCCCCTCTAAGCCTCCAGGAGGAACCAGCCCTGCTGACTGTTTTTAGACTCTTCTGGCCCCTGCAACTGTAAGAGAACAAATGTGTTCCTTTAAGCCACTCAGCTTGTGGAAATTTGTCACAGTAGCCTCAGGACATTTTCATGCCAACCAGGATTAGGCCCGTAGGCCCAGAGTAGCCACTGCAGGGGACAGGAGCACTGCAGGCAGCAGTGTGCTAGACGCGGAGCAAATCCCATAAACGAGGCAGCAGACACCCTGCCCCGGCCGCCCCGTGCCCTCCCCTGTGTGCTCTGTGGTCTGGGGTCTGTGGCTCCTGGTGTTCTCCATGGGGAGGGGCGTCCAGAGGGGGTCCTCATTGGGGAGGGGCTGGTTCTGCAGCCCCTGGTTCCGCCTTCTCCTTGTTCTTGGCACACAGCAACCAGCCTGGCATTGCTGGAGATGGTCTGTGGGTTTATCGCACAGGTGCACATGAGTCAGGGAACACGAGATCTGCCCAGCCAGAGGCACTACAACGTCACCACCCAGGTGTGAAGGAGCCAGGTGGATCCCAGGAGGAGCAGACACCCTTGGCCAACACCCAGAGCTGGGCCTCAGAATTGCACAGGGAGGCCTCCTATCCCTGAGGGCTCTGCCCTGGGAAGTCCTGCAGGAAGCCCATGCCGGGGCACCCAGGCCAGCCCCCAAGGCAGAAAACAGAGTGCAGGATGGGAGGGGGCCTGGGCCCGGCAGGCAGGGGCAAGGCATGCTCTTTCCTCCAAAGGGGAGGTTTTTAGGGAGTCAGCTGCCACCATTTCCAGCAGCAATCCCTAGCGTGGCTGGCAGGGTACTGGGTGTTCAGCCAATCACAGGTAGGGAGCTCCTGGGATGGGAAGGAACCATCATGCCTCAACACGACCGCCATGAAAATATTTATTTGTGGATATCATACAAGTCAACAGGACCAGCACGAAACAGATGCAGCCTACACAGTGCTGTAGGACCGAGGCTCACAAACATCCACATGGCACAAGCAGGGCCGGCCACTCCAGGCAAACGAAGCCACCCCCGAACCTTGCAGAGGCCGCACTCCCTCAGCAGGGGGACCACGGAGGCGACAGGTGCTTTGATGCCTCCGAAGAGCTGAGCTCCATTCCACGGAGGGAGCGGGCTGCGCCGCCGTCCTCCCATTGGTCCAGTTTTGCAATCACTAGATGAAGCTCCGGTTAAAGTTCTAAATCAGGAATGACGCAGCCATGAAGTTAAAGGCATCCAGAAGGTCACCACACACCTGGCACCCTCCAAGGGCCCACGCGGAGCCAGCTGAGGACTCACGTCCATGCTCCAGAACGTCAGCACCTCTGCCTCCCATCACCAAGAAGGGGCTTCAGACACCTCATGGGGACCTATGACGGCTCGAGCTTGACACAGGTTCTCCCAGCTGCTCGACACGCTGTGGGATGTACTGGAAGGGTCTTCCAGGCCTGCTGAGGCCTCTTTTTGTCCCACCAGCCCTGCACCCACCCTCCTCCTGCCAGGGGCTGGGTCTTGGGTTAGAAAGTCACTCGAGGGCTTCAGAGCCGCTGACCCAGCTTGCAGCTCAAAATGAGGACAAAGGCGCTTCCATCCACCTTCACGGAGATGCTGGCTTCGCAGGCCGGTGGGCGAGGCGAGGTCCATAGTTTTACTTAGGACAGGTTTCCCAGGCAGTACCCAGGTCGTGTGGGGGATCCCCAAGCAGAAGCTTAGGACGGCATTCTCCCCTCTCTGTTCCCACCCACCTATCCGCCAGACACTGGGCTTGCCCTTGCTGTCCGTCCCAGCACTGACGGGCAGGACAGAGATGCATGGGGTGAGTGGCCCTGTGGCACTGGAAGGCATATCCCACCAGAAATGGGTTTCCTGTTGGACAAAGACCAGAAATGGCCCCGCAGTATACTGGTGGATGGGAAGAAAGGAGAGGCTGGCATTTGGGGGTGCTGTTCCCACCACAGCCTTGAAGCTGGGGCCCCCCATCAAAGCTTGTCCCAGGCAAGGGTCAGAGATGGAAGGGGACATCTCTTGCTCTGGGACAGGGTCCTGCTTGGCTCAGACAGTGGGAAAACTAAAAACACCTGTTTATTCTGCCAGAATCGAAAGAAAAATTCCAGGAAGAACTTCTTACTAATATACATTTTTAAGATATTGACCAGTCATCTAAACTTACTCATTAAACTGTTTTAAACAAATGAACACACCGTGTTGCAATGAAAGGCAGGAACGTGGTTTTAGACGCCGATTGAAAACCAGTGTCTTTGTGCACTGAGAACAGGAAACATTCTGCTCTGAGAACAAACTGCAGAGTCGACAGGAGACACACATGCGACAGAAAGCCCCCAGCAGGAGAGACCGTGCACCCTGGTGGGTGATGGGATGCCCGGGCAGTGGCTTGGACACAGCTGTCACGCCACGATGCCTGCTGGGTCCTGCAGGGACAGGGGACACAGGCCACACACAGAGCCCAGCCACGCACTGTGGAGCGTGGCACAGGCCACACAAACTGGCTCCTACCACCTAACAGAGACGAGTCGCACACTGAAAAAAGTCCCCTAGAAGGATGGCTCACGTCCATCCTACCGGGGGGGATGGACGCAGGGACCTGGCCCTGGCTCTGGTCTGGCGGCAACCCCTGCTGGCAGAGGCAGGAGGTGTGCGGCTGGAGTCAGAAACTGAGGTGCTGTCTATAAAAATTCCAAGATTCCGCCGGGTGCACTGGCTCATGCCTGTAATCCCAGCACTCTGGGAGGCCGAGGCGGGCAGATCACTTGAGGTCAGGAGTTTGAGACCAGCTTGGCCAACATGGTGAAACCCCATCTCTACTAAAAATACAAAAATCAGCTGAGCGTGGTGGCGCATGCCTGTAATCCCAGCTACTTGGGAGGCTGGGGCAGGAGAACCACTTGAACCCAGGAAGCGGAGTTTGCAGTGAGCCGAGATCACACCACTGCACGCCAGCCTGGGTGTCAGAGCGAGACTTCACCTCAAAAAAAAAAAAACAAAAAAAAACAAAAAATCCAAGATTCCCACCTCCTTCCACCTGCAGATGGCCAGCACCTGCACCTGCCAGGCAGGAACACACGACAGGCCCAGCTCTGCCCAGGGCTACAGGGCCATACAGGCTCAGGTATCCTCCCCTGTGCTGGGAGTCCGGAGTGGGGACGGTGTCCACCCAGACCCGCCAGGCCACGCTCCAGGCTTCCCTGGCTTAGGGCTGACAAGACTTCCGGGCAGTGGACTTGGCCTCCCACAGCCACCCTCCCCAGGGCCTGGGGTCCTTCTGGGAGCCCCCTCGGCCCTGGTGATCAGCATCCATCTGAGTGCTCGGTGGACGGACACGGGAGCCGCCTCTCCAGCGAGTCTCAGCGGAAGCCGCTGGCCTGGCAGTGAGAGGCGGCGTGGAAGGAAAAGGCTCAGCAGGCACATCCCTCCGGCGGGCAGAGTGGCATCGGGGGGCCACACAGCTCTCACCTGGACTCAGAAAGCCAGGTCCAAAGTTCTCGTTTCCCTGTCTGCACATAACCTGCTCTGCTCACTCACAAACTCCAGTTCCCCTGCTCTGGGCCCAGGCAGGCGATCCACAGGGAGGGGTGTGTGAAGGAGGCCCATGAGACCAGGCAGGCGGCAGGGGAGAGAGGGAGAGACTCCTGGCTACCCGGGCAGCAGAGTACAGTCCAGCCACACAGTGGGGACACCTCTGATCTCCATAAACATGGACACTGCTGCCCCGACACAGGTGGCCCCATCGGAGGGCAGGAAGGACAAGGAAAAGAGCTCCAGCTGCCAGAACACTCTCAACCTCCTCTCTTTGCATAGTTAAACTAAAGAGAGAATGAGGCTGGAGCCAGGGAAGGTGGACGGGCAGAGTGGGGAGCTGCTCGGGGCCCCGCAATCTGAGGGCCATCTATACCACCTTCCCTGGCCAGTGCCCTCCCAGGGCCTTGCACCGTGCACCTACTGTGGGCTCTGCCTTCTCTGACACCAGGCACGAGAGGCCTGAGCTCAACCACATAGCTTTTATTGTTTTACCTCGGGTAGCGGTGGGGACTGTTACCCCAGGGGCTTTGGCCTCTTACCTGGTGCAGGCAACTCTCTTGCCTGGTGATCTCAAGATGGAGACATCCCTCACTTACTCATCAGCGTGGCTAAGCCAAGCCAGCCTCCGTTCACGGTAAGACCAAACGTTTCAAAACTGGCTCTAACGAGCTTAAGAACAGGACATTAAACAAAGCATCATGCTGCAACTGTTTACATGTATTGGAAAAATAACAGATGCACATAATAACCTTGGCAGGACTAGGCAACAATTTAAAATCGATTTTAAAAAGGATCCTATTGTGGAATTCATCCTTACGGTCTACAGGGAGAAGTTTGAAAAACTGGATTAAGAAAGTATTAAACTTCTGTACCCTGACAATAAGCAGGCGATGTTGGACCAGTATAGCTGTCACCTTAAAATAAATTCTTCTCATTATTTTGCATGTTATTAACTATGGAAAGTGAAAACAAAGATCAATTCTAATCTGGATCCAAGCCATAGGGAAACCCACTGCCAATGCCCAAGGTTACCTTCCTGGATGAGAAACTGAAACTGAAGGCCACCAGGGGCCTCTGCCGAAGTCAGGAGAGACGAACATGCCCGGGTGGAAACGGGCCGTGGACAGGGCAGGCTCCAGCTGCTCCGTGGTTTGACAGCAGGCAGTCTGGGGAGGGGATGCCGGACTCTGCCCGTAGAGGCTGACAATTTCCACAAAAGCCCTGCACCCACAAAGGCACCATCTGCTCTCAGAAACCCCCGATTTCTTTCTCCTTAGTCGCAGCCCAGGCCTCTCCTGGTTCGGCTGATACAGCCAAAGAAAACAGAAGAGAAGTTTCAGATTGCGCCAGAGAGCTCAGGATTTACGGGAGGCGCCTGCAGGGACAGCCATTCTCCTAATTCTTGCTTAATACAGGGAAGTCCAAGAACTAAAGCTGATGTGGGGACTCAGCCTCTGAAACGAGCTCAAAGAACCAAGAATCAAAGCTTGCTCGCCAGGGCACACCGCCCGTAACACCCACTGCAGGGGCAGAAGGAGTCCCACACCTGACACTGCGTTCTCATGCTGGGTTTTTCACCAGCTCACAGGACAGAGAGACATTTAGGTTCTTTCCCCCATGCTATACGTGCTCTTGGTGTTTAAAAAAAAAAAAAAAAGAAAAAGAAAAGCTTTCCTGGTGGCTGGCAATGTGGCACACGCCCCAGTCTCCACTTGGCAGTGAGGGTATTTCCAGTTAAACGCCCTACAGAGGGCCAGGTGGTTCTGGCAGATCCCTGCACTCACATACTGGGGAGGCCGCCTCCCCGCCAGGCTCCGGACACAGCCATCCTCCTTCCTGCTGGTGTGGCGGCGCCCTGTAGGGACCAGTGGCTCTGGGCTGCAACGGGCCTGCCACCCGTGTCCTCGGAGCCAGGAAACATGGCTGCGAAACCCGTGTCTGACTCACTGGCTGAGGTGGGGGAGCCAGGCGCCCTGATGCACGCTCGTGAAGACATTCAGAACGAACAGAGTGGGAGAGTGGGGGAGGGGGTGGGGGTTCCATATAAACCTGCATCTTTTCGCTTCAGGGCATTTTTCAACAAAGAACGCACTCCTGGCAAGCGAGTCTTTCTAGAAGACACTGGAATGGCCTCACAGGAGGGTATGGGCTCCAGGAGGGGCCCGTCCGTGGGGAAGGTAGCGGGGTGGGGGTACCCCTTGGAGAGTCCGCTTCTTGGGGGCCCCATGGGCCCCCACTTCCTGCATCTCCCTATTTCTCTCCAGCCGTGGGTTCCCTGGAGACACAAACCTCTGCACACCCCAGAGCTGGGATGCAGGGCTGCAGGGGTGTGGCTGAAATCAAGGCAGGCCAGGGACAGGCACTGCCGCCTATAGCTATACCTGGGGGGACCCCAAACTCTGGGCAAAGTGGGGCCAGGGAGGTCACTGCTGAGCAGAGGATGATAGGACTTGTCAGAGCTGGTGCTGTGGCCTCTGCCGTCACCCCAGCCTGCCCAAGGGCCTGGGAGCTGCCCGCCCCCACCGTGCCCCACACCCACCTTGGAAGATTGGCAGCTTCCAGGGTGGCCTCTTGCCCCTGGGCATTTGGTGGGGCACAGAACTGAGGTCAGGGGACAAGGGTTAAATGTGCCAGCAGGGGCAGGGGGCAGGCACCCCTCTGTCCTGTCTACAAATGCTGTGGCTCAATGTGCTGTCACGGGCAGCACGTGGCAAACGCGCAGTGCTCAGCCTGCTGCACCACGGATGAGGGGAGCTTCCACAAGGAACCTGACGGGGTGGTTCTCTGGAGCTTCAAAGCTGCTCTTGGCCCAGCACAGACCTTACTGCGTTAGCATCTTCCTCAAGTCACTCGGCGGATTCCTGGAAGATGCCGATGGGTTACAAGAGGTCCCGCGGGTAGCTGAGAGGTCTGCAGACCGACTTGAATTTGCTGGGGCCTGGGAAGGTCCCTGATGCTGCACCGTGTGTCTCCAAGCAAGCTCACATCAACCCTCCCATACGGTGAAACAACAGCCTAAGATCTGAAATCCCCAGGGACTAAACGAGCAGCAAAGTAAGAACCAAAAGTTCGAATGCGGGAACAAAGAGGCTATGGTCAGAATGACAGTAAAGATACTTGGCAGAATTCTTCCTGACCCCAACCGTTACCACCCGACTCCTTCTCAGAGATGCAAAGACAGAGGCCACCCAGGCCCAGCCCAGCGCGACACGGCCTCTGTACGGTAGTGGCAGCCAGGGCCCACTCGAGGCTCCACACGCAGCAGGCTCGGCCTCACCCACTCACCCTCCCACAGGGAACACCCCCGAGATGGCAAACAGGGGCCCGTCTTCCCGGAGGCCCAGGAGCCTTGTGGGGAAGGGAGCCGGGTTTTCAGATCACAAATTTCTGTGACCACTTTGTTATTTTTCACAAAGCACGACTGGCACGTTTCACAATGAAGACCAGCAGATGCCGGACACTCATGAAAGAAAAAAATATCAAGTTTCGGTCATGGCTCTAAGGCAGACGTTACATGTTTTCACAGGGACAAACACGGAGACACCAACGCGCTGCGTGTCACGGGCAAGCGGCGGGGCCCTCACAGCACCGTGGCCTGGACGACGATCTCTGGGTCCTCGATGTCCCTTTTGCTCTGCACCATCCGCAGCTCCAGCTGCATGGGGCTGGGCCTCACTCCTTCCCCGGCCTGGGCTGCGGGGCAGGCAGAGAGCACTGAGTTCCCATCTCAGAGGGGCTCCCGCTGTTGCCCCCACTCCCAGAGGTGAGGTCAGCAGGAGACACCGATCACACCTTCAAAACCAGCACGTGCCAGCTCTTCTCTCCCACCCACTTCGGGAGCCAGGAGCCCACGCAGCCCATGCAGCCCGGCCGCCGTACCTTTTGCACACTGGATGGTCCTCTGCAGAACGTGGTGCAAGGTAGACACGGTCTTCTCACAGGCCACCTGCAGGGAGGACAGACTTGCTGTGCCCCTGGCCCACTCACAACACCCGACGTGCCCACTGCTGCCAGGAGGGGATTTCCAGGGAACACAAGGGCCGTCCTGCTCTCCGAGCCACCGGGGAGCCGGCTCCGCCAATGCACGTGCTGAACCCTGGAGGACAGGCTGCGGACTGCCCACCACGGAGAGCCCGGAGGGCTGAGCAGATGCCCGGTCCCAGCTACCTGCTCTGGACAAGAGATGGCTCACAGAAGGGACAGCCTCGTGACCTGCATAGAACTTGGCAGGCAGCAGGAGCTTGGTAGGAGTTCCCAGAATTAACTCCTTATAACGAGTCTACAAGGGGAAGTGCTCCTGCCGAAAGCCCAGCCAATCATCACTCAGTGATGCCTCAGAGTCAGCCAATCATCACTCAGTGATGCCTCAGAGTCAGCCAATCATCACTCAGTGATGCCTCAGAGTCAGCCAATCATCACTCAGTGATGCCTCAGAGTCAGCCAATCATCACTCAGTGATGCCTCAGAGTCAAAGGTGCTGGGGAAGCACGGGGAACTCGCTCCCCGACTCCACAACCCTGGGCTGGCCAAACCCAGAATGTGACCTTGGGCGGCCTGGCAGTGAGGCCTCCTCGGGGTGCCAGCTGGCACTTTTCCACTGCCCTGCACCACCAATTAAACACGGCAGGCTTACTTAATGGCCCTGTTTAATTGCCCTTGAGGGGCCAGAAGGGATGGAATGAGGGGGCTGTGCATTCCAGCTCAGGGTGTGCAGAGGGCTAGTCCCATGGGAGGCAAAGGGCCTCAGTCCACCTCTTCCATTTTACACACCAGGACACTCAGCTGAAACTGACTTGTTGGGGAGGAGGTGTACCCCGGGGGACACGTGGCCCCTTAAGCGGCCCGGCAAAGACAGCACAGGGAGAGCCACCTGCAGGTCCTGACCTCTGAACTCTTCCTTCCCCAGCGCACCCAATAGTGACAGAGGTGTCCTGTCTTCCTCCTGTCACTCCCATGGCACCCCTGCCCTGCCCCACATTCCAAAGGGATGGCAGGCCCCTCCCTCCCACCTGAACCCACTGCGGACGCAGTGGGAAGTACCCAGGGGAGTTTTGGGGGCTGAGCCCAGGGGCTGGGGACCACCTCAGAGCACAGCACGGCTCTGGACGGTGTTGTAAGAAGACACACTCCAGGCGTCCTCGGACTCAGCTGACAAAACCACCTGCCGAGGCCACAAGCAACTCTGCTGCATGCAGCACGGGAGGTCACGGATCTGAGCGCCACAGTTGCAACAAAACTCCTCTGTCCCCGCTGAGCTGTGTGCTTACCCATGGGACACACGAGAAAGGCTCACGAGACCCCACATCCCAACCTGCCATGTCAGTTGCCCAACAGTCCCACTCCCCCCACTGTCTAAGCAAAGCCACCCGATCTCTACAAACTTGAAAAGCAGGCAGACATCCAGACAAAACGCCCAGAAAGACGGCTCTCCACACCTGCCTGGACCCCTGTCCTCAGCCTCCCACCTACTGTCCCCGAAGGGCGGCTCCGGCCTTTCCGTCCCTCAGGTCACTGCCGTGGTCACACTGTGGGAAATGCTGCAGGGTGCCACTCCTCTGCAGCAGCCCCCAAGTCACCAAGGACACAACAGCTCCATGCATCCCACAGCCCTGCGCCAACGCCAAGCGGGTGGCATCTGAATCCTGGTGGGACCCCCATGGGTCTGTTCTGAAACATCTGTCACCCAAGCCCTCACAGACTCTGATCATCCCTAGGTCCCAAATAAGGGGAGATGGGAGGCGATGTGAGAGTGACAGGCGCAACTCCTGTCATGGCCTGGCCACTGCCCTCCCCCACAACTGGGGCCAGCACTCAGGGCCATGCCCTGTCAGCTCAGCAGGGACCCCCCACCAGGACTCTCATATCCTGCTCCCCATGAGGTGCCGTGGGAGTGGGCGAGGAGGGGAGCGGTGCGTGTGGCTGACCTTGAGGTTATTGGGGTGCTTGTGTGTCCACGCCAGGAGCATGGCAGCAAACAGGTCCCCAGTGCCCACAAAGACGGCGTCCACTTTGCGAATGTCCATCCGGATGCGTTCCATCACCACGGAGCCAGCGGGATTCCCTAGGGGGAGAAGATGGGCAAGGTCACTGAGATCTGCCGCTCCTCTGCCAGGGCCAGCCTCCCATCCCTGATCCTCCTGGGCACGGCGGCAGGGAGGGTCACAGGGGCAGAGCACAAGGTGGCCTTGCTCAGGACGTGGGGGCTCAGGGCATGCATGGGGTCCCCATCACCGCAGCAAGGGAAAGGGAAAGACTGCACCCTCAGAGGGCCACACGGTCAGGCCGCCTCGGGGGTCGCTGTGAAACTCCCGAGAGTAACGACGGCGTGAAGAACTAGGATGTACCTGGACGCATCCGAGTGTGTGTGCATGTGTGTGCGTGTGCCCACGTGTATGCATGTGTGTCCGTGTGTATGCATGTGTCCGTGTGCATGTATGCCTGTGTGTGCCCGTGTGTATGTGTGCATGTATGCCTATGTGTGCCCATGTCCACGTGTGTGCCCGTATGTGCATTTGTGCCCAAGTGTATGTGCATTTGTGCCTATGTGTGTGCCTGCAAGGCTCCCATGTCCAAACATAGAGCGGCAAGGAGGTCACAGCTGTTCTTTTGGGCCCATGGGTATGAACCCGCGGCCACTAGCTTAGTGCATGGCCCCAGCCTTCTGCGTCATTTTCACACTGTTCAGAGAAAATCAACCAGGTGGTGTCTGTGTAAACAATCAGCACAGCCGGGTGGACGCGTCCTCCCAGTGAACTCAGGGACCCCGCCTGGCTCTGAGGGAGGCCTATGATGCTGGGTCCGTGGAAGCCAGTTCCAGCCAGGCCATTCATCGTGACCTGTGAGGTCTTGGGAATCCCACCTGATCCCTGAGAGTCTGTAAAATGGGGGTGTCATCCCGGTGCTGGATAAGGCTTAAATTTCATGCTATTGAACCCAAAACATTCTTGCAGCCCCAAAGAACACCTTCCTCTGGGAAGAGCAGAGGCGGCCACGGTGCACGATGGGGGCACTTACTCCTCCTCTGACTCCCCAGCACAATCAGGTAGTTGCTGCCCTGCGGGGAGGGCAGGTCGGAGCTGGTGATGACCACGGTGTCGGGGCCCATAGAGTGCAGCATGTCCATCACCTAGCAGTGGCACAGGGAGCGTCAGCCACGGCCGGTCACATGTCAGCCACGGCTGGTCACACCCCACTCCCCGATCCATCACCTGGCAGTGGCACGGGGAGCATCAGCCACGGCCGGTCACACCCCACTCCCCCAGAGCCCGTTCCCAATGGCGGCACTCCCGGAGGGAAGACAGCCACCTGGTCAGCCACCATCCCCCCACAAACTGTCAGCCCAAACCGTGTGGCTCCCCACAGGTGACTGGCGAGGGCCTCCCCCTTGGGGGGTGGACAGATGGGTGCCTGTCCTGCAGCGAGGAGGAGCTGGCCCCTCTGTACGTTGGCTTTTCTGTAACTCTCGTAGAAACTGTCTCCACCGCACGGTTGCCTCAGATCGGGCAGCACGCGCGCGCACACACACACACACACACACACACATGTGCTGCATCGCCACCCAGCACGTGTCCATAGCAGAATCTGGACCCTGCTCCAGGGTCAGCTGACTCTGCAGTCCCAGGACCCAATACCAGGTCAGCGAAAGGCCTCCGAGTGGGAGGAGTGGCTGCTGCAGTGGCCCATTCTCAGGACCAGGCTCCTGGGTTGTGAAGACAAAATTCAGGGCAGCGCCAGGCTGCTTGGGAACGCAGCCCAAAGCACATGGACTCCTGCTGCAGTCTGACAGTGTCTGCTCTAAAATGCATGTTGAAACATGGCACCCATGTGGCAATATTCAGAAGGGGTCCTCTGGGGCATGATTAAGTCATGAGGGCTCCCCTTTCTCTGTGCCTGATGAGGGCTGGAGGGAGCAGCATGGGCCCCTCGAGCCCCCTGCCATCCACACATGAGGATGCAGCAACAAGGTGCAGTCCGGGTAGCAAAGTAGCCCCCGCCAGACCCTGAGCCTGCCAGTGCCTTGACCTTGGACTTCCCAGCCTCCAGAACTGTGGGGAACAAAGTTCTGTTTTGTTTTGTTTTGTTTTGTTTTTTGAGATGGAGTCTCGCTCACTCTGTTGCCCAGGCTGGAGTGCAGTGGTGCAATCTCAGCTCACTGCAACCTCCGCCTCCTGGCTTCAAGCGATTCTCCTGCCTCAGCCTCCCAACTAGCCGGGATTATAGGCGTGCACCACCATGCCCAGCTAATTTTTGTATTTTTAGTAGAGATGGGGTTTTACCATGTTGGCCAGGCTGGTCTCGAACTCCTGACCTCAAGTGATCTGACCACCTCAGTCTCCCAAAGTGCTGGGATTACAGGCGTGAGCCACTGCATCCGGCCAAAAGTTCTGTTTTTTATAAATCATCCAGTCTCAGGCATTTTGTCACAGCAGCCCCAACAGACTAAGATGACTCAACCAAGGTTCAATGCTAGCAAGACACGCACGGTCTCCAAGTCCCGGAGAAAAAGGACTTTGAAGAAACTGCACCTTGGGCTGCTGCATCTGCTCCTGTGTCCAGCCTCCAGCCTGCCCTTCCCAACAGCTGGCCCTGCAAATCCCAAACATGCCCAGGAGCCCCCACACAGCTCAAGCCACCGCCTTACAATAGCTCTTCACACACATGTGCACACACACACACACACATGCACACACATGTGCAAACACGTGCACACATACGCACACACATGCACACATGCGTGCACACCCATGCCCACACGCCCATGGACACACATGCACACAGACGCACATGCACATGTGCACACACACACGTGCACACATGCACACATGGGTGCGCGCACACACGCACACATCCACACACACACCCACACACAATACGCGCGCACACACGCACACATGCACACACACACACACATGCACAAACATGTCCACACATGTACACACACACATATATCCTGCTGATCTCTGGAGGCCCCGACTGGTACAGACTGTTCAGTCACTGCTGGGGAGAAATGACACAGTGGTGCCACTCAGGCAGCCTGTCTCCCGTCCCCACCGTGAGCGGCACATGTGCCCCGCACAGGCCCCAGAGGGCCTCCTTACCCGCAAGGCTTCCTCCTGGCTGTGGATCTTCCGGCCACTCAGTAACCTGGAAGACAGGCGGGGACAGGCGGGTGGGGACAGGTGAGCCTCTCCTCTCCGGGTTGTGTGTTGACATTCCCCAAACCGCAGCGGCTCTGGAAATCCCCATCCCCACAGGCAGCTAACTCTTCGTCCACTGGCCACCCTGGGCCGGGGCCCCTGCAACATGTGGGGTTTGGTTCTAAAGGGGACCCTCACATTACAGGAGTCACGTAAGGCCCAATCATGGCTGCTGTTTATACGTAACCGTGGTGATGGACAGCAGCCACGGCCCCCACTTAAGGCCCATGCCACAGCGCAGGGTCTCAGCATGGGTGACTGACATCCATACAAAGTCAAAGAGCCGCTAGCGATTAATGCACGCATGGGCCACCCATGGCTCAGGGGCCTCGAGTGAGATGCCACCCCCAAGTTTGGACAGGCCCAGGTCAGGGATCCCAGGCCTCCAAGAGTCCAGGCGCCCCCACCCCTGCGTGAATGGGGGGGCTCAAGACCTGGCTCAGGGCCAGGTAGAGCTAAGCTGTGACAGGCACCAGCCCCCTCCGCGGGCAGCTCCACTCTTCATGGCACTGGGGCGCTGGTGGCTTCCCCTGGTGTGTGATTCTTCAGCTGGGGGGAGCCATGCACCCAAAGAAAGACCTTTTCAAACTCGGTATCAGACAGCCAAGCCCAACACACTCCTCTTCCCCTCACAGGGCGGCAGGTGACCTGGCCGCCTGTGCTGCCCCCACCCTCCCTCTGCTGTGGTGGCCCCGACAAGCCCACAGCTCCCCAGGTCGCCCCTCCTCTTCCTCTCCCAGGGGCCCTGCCGCTCAGGAAGGCACAGGGGCAGCAAAACCATCCCCATCACCCATGGCTGCCACCACCAAAGAGAAGACGTGAGCCTGGGACCCAGGTGGGCAGGGGCTTCTCCAACCCAGGCGCCCCCACCACATCCTGCTCCAGTATCAAGGGGCACTCGCCCCATGGCAGGACCTTCCTGAGAACCACTTCGTAAGCTAAACAGGCAGCCCGAAGGCAGAGTGGAGACCCTTCTGGCATGTTCTCTGCAGCTCTCCCTGGGGAAAGACTGGTAGCATTTGCCATTTAAAATAACTTACTCTGCTGGGCACGATGACTCATGCCTGTAATCCCAGCACTTTGGAAGACTGAGATGGGTGGATCACCTGAGGTCAGGAGTTCAAGACCAGCCTGGCCAACATGGTGAAACCCCGTCACTACTAAAAATACAAAAATTAGCCGGGCGTGGTGGCTCACGCCTGTCATCCCAGCTACTCGGGAGGCTGAGGCAGGAGAATTGCTTGAACCCCGGAGACAGAGGTTGCAGTGAGCTGTGATCGTGCCACTGCACTCCAGCCTGGGTGACAAGAGCGAGACCCATCTTGAAAAATAAATAAATAAAGTAAAATAAAATAAAATGACTTACTCGGCCTCAAACTGGTTGGGCGTGATAATGTCTGCAAGCGGCACC
The DNA here is from genome assembly GCF_000001405.40 of Homo sapiens. NCBI lineage: Eukaryota > Metazoa > Chordata > Mammalia > Primates > Hominidae > Homo > Homo sapiens. The sequence continues at coordinate 43,749,035 of NC_000021.9, read as the reverse complement.
ACTTTTTCTTTGTAGACGGGAAGGAGGTCCTCCGGGACGTACTGGCCAACAAAGGAGACAGGAGGAGAGGCTGAGTCACCGTGAGGGAAGCACGCCAGGGGGCGCGGAGGGAAGCCCACCACGGAGTGCTCCCCCAAAAGCCCCCTGAAGTCCAGGCTCAGGGGCCAGGCCCCCCGACTGTAGCGATAAGTTGTTCCCACCACGGGGACAGCGTGTGGCCGAGGCACACTAGAGTGGGGAACCCTAAGTGCTCCGAGGGGCCGAGGGAGGACTCAGGGCGCACAGTGGGTCCCCACAGAGTGTCTGGGAGGAGAAGGAGGTGAAGGAGAGAGGGAGGGAGGGAGGAGGGAGACGAGGAAAGGGAAACCCCACAGGTGGATGGAGCAGCCCTGGTCATCTGGTGAGGGCTTGGGGGTGCTGGCCATGTCCATCTGCGACTGGGAGCCCAACCCGCCAGCTCTTCCTGGCTGAGTCAATGCACCCTTCATCTAGTTTTTGTCTAAGTTGCCTGACAAACAATTCAACACTTTTTTGTTTTGTTTTGTTTTTTGAGACAGTTTCGCTCCTGTTGCCCAGGTTGGAGTGCAATGGCGTGGTCTTGGCTCACTGCGACCTCCACCTCCTGGGTTCAAGCGATTCTCCTGCCCCAGCCTCCCGAGCAGCTAGGATTACAGGCGCCTGCCCCCACGCCCGGCTAATTTTTTTTAGTAGAGACGGGGTTTCGCCATGTTGGCCAGGCTGGTCTCGAACTCCTGACCTCAGGTGGTCCACCCGCCTCAGCCTCCCAAAGTGCTGGAATTACAGGCGTGAGCCACTGTGCCAGGCAACACATGGTTTTCTTTAGCGATCAAATTTAAGCCGGAGGCAGTGCGAAGCTCTGGAAGAATTCTGTGGGCTTCATGGAACATTTCAGCAGCCCCTGCTGGCTGAGTGGCCTGAGTTTCCAATCCCTTCACTTCACTTTGCTCCCGGAAACCTCCCTTGGAGATCAGAGGCCCCACAGGAGGCATGTCTGCACCTGGTGCTCAGAGCACACAAAGTGGTCACACGCCGGCCGCTGCTCCAGACATGGCTTAGGAGGCACTAAGGATGGGTGGGTGGCACGTGGATGTCCCCGATCCCTGGACCAGGAAATCGAAGGAAAGCTCTTTAGAGCCCCATTTTGGGTAGGGAGGGCCAACACACCCCTTTAACCTCACGGAAAGGGGAGATACGGGGTGACCGCTCATCTGAGACAGGAGCTCGTGTTTAGGCCACTCTTGTTCAGGAAAACAAATGTGATCAAAATCGAGGGGCCAGATCCCGTAGCCGCACTGAACTGGACAGTGGCCCCAACTCTTCGTGATCCAAACGCAAGTGTCTGCCGAGGGTCAGCAGAGCCCACACCAGGGAGCACCATGAAGGGAAGGCAGGGAGCTGCAAGCTGGGGTCCTGCAGGCTGGGCGCAGGACAGGGAACCTTCCAGAGAACAAGCATGGGAGAAAGTGGACAGACAGACGCTGAGCACACCAGCCCGCCCCACCCAGTTAGATGCCCAGTGACAGATATCCTGACTTCAACCACTGACCCAGCGGGGCAGGGAGGGCACAGGCCCAGGCGTGCCCTGTGCCAGTGGAGAAGCCCGCTGTGCTCAGTGAATATACAGCAAGCAAACAGACACCCTAGACACAACGACAAAGAAGGCAGATACTGAAATCGCCTGGGCGCTGAATGGCTGAGTTAAAAACCCACAGGCAGGATCACCTTTGGGTTCCTTCCGCCTCTAAATTCTAGGCTTCTGGACTGGTCACAGTGGATTTGTTCTCCATCCACTTGATCCGACGTCCAGGTCTGTGGGCTGCAGCTGCTGCTGTTACTACACAGCTCATGGGTTAAGTGGTTTCTAGATTTTTCTTTTGTTTTTTGAGATGGGGTCTTGCTCTGTGGAGTGAGTGTAGCGGTGCGATCTCAGCTCACTGCAGCCTCCACCTCCTGGGCTCAAGTGATCCTCCCACCTCAGCCTCCCAAGTAGTTGGGACTATAGGTAGGTGCCACCACACCCAGCTCATTGTCTTGTATTTTGATTAGAGATGGCGGGGTTTTGCCATGTTGCCCAGGCTGGTCTTGAACTCCTGGGCTCAAGCCAGCCACCCGCTCTGGCCCCCGAAAGTGCTGGGATTACAGGCGTGAGCCACTGCACCCAGTCTGGTTTCTACATTTTTAAATGGTTAGGGGAAAAAAGCCAAAAAAAGAATGACACTTTGTGACACATGAAAATTATAGAAAATTCAAATTTCAGTGTCCACAAATGAAATTTTATTAGAAAATAGTCATCCATGGCTGGGCGTGGTGGCTCATGCCTGTAATCCTAGCACTTTGGGAGGCCAAGGCAGGTGGATCACTTGAGGCTAGGAGTTCGAGACCAGCCTGGACGACACAGTGAAATCGTATCTAGTAAAAATATACAAATTAGCTGGGAGTGGTGTTGTGCACCTGTAATTCCAGCTACTTGGGAGACTGAGGCATTAAGAATTGCCTGAGCCCAGGAGGCAGAGGTTGCAGTAAGCTGAGATCATGACACTGCACTCCAGCCTGGGTGACTGAGTGAGACTCTGTCTCAATAAGAAAAGAAAGAAAAGAAAAGAAGTCATCATGTTTGTACACCTCTTATCTGTGGCTGCTTCTGTGCTCTAATGAGAACAGCTGTGGCAAGGCTGTGCGGCCGGCAAAGGTGTCGATATTTATCTACCGTCAGGCACTTTACAGAAAATATGTCGGTTCCCTTTCTCCTTCCTAACAAGGTTTGTCTTTTTACCCCTGGACAGAGGAGTCCCACCGAGTTAGACACTTAGAGATGTGGGCCTGTCTTCTGGCTGGACAGGAATAGCTCCACTCACCACACTTTTAAATCACACACGTGAAACTACTCACCATCGAGCCTTCGCCGTCCCACTTGTCACCCAAGACTGGATCACACACTGCAGAGACACAAGGGCATCTTATCAGCAAAGGCTACAGCTGACGAGTAAGAAACCCTCCACATTTCTTTCTTCTTTTTTTAAGACAGGGTCTTGCTCTGTTGTCCAGGCTGGAGTGCAGTGGTGCAATCATGGTTCACTGCAACCTCGATCTTCCAGGCTCGGGCGATCCTCCTGCCTCACCCTCCCAAGTGGCTGAGACCACAGGCATGCAGCAGCACACCCAGCTAGCTTTTAAATGATTTGTACAGATGGGTTCTCACCATGTTGCCGAGGCTGGTTTTGAACTCCTAGGCTTAAGCGATCCTCTCACCTTGGCCTCCCAAAGTGCTCAGATCACAGGTGTGAGCAACCACATTTGGCTTTTTTCTTTTTTCTTGTTTTTTAAGCTGCCAAGTTGAAGTAGGTATCTTCCCTTTTTTAACTTTTTAATATAGTAAAAAATATATACCATAATCTTTGCCAGTGTAAGCATGTTTAAGCGTACAATTCAGGAGCATTCAGGACATTCTCACCGTGTATAACCACGACCACCATCCACCTCCAAAACTTCTCATCTTCCCAAACTGAAACTCTGTCCTCACTATACACTCACGCCCCACTCCCCCTGCCTTAGGCCCTGGTAACGTCTAGTCTGCTTTCTTTTTTTTTTTTTTTTTGAGATGGAGTCTCGCCCTGTCACCCAAGCTGGAGTGCAGTGGCGCAATCTTGGCTCACTGCAACCTCCGCCTCCCGGGTTCAAGTGATTCTCCTGCCTCAGCCTCCAAAGTAGCTGAGATTAGAGGTGTGCGCCACCAGGCCTGGCTAATTTTTGTATTTTTATTAGAGATGGGGTTTCACCATGTTGGCCAGGCTGATCTCGAACACCTGACTTCAGGTGATCCGCCCACCTCAGCCATCCAAAGTGCTGGGATTCCAGGCGTGAGCCACCACACCGAGCCTCCGTCTGCTTTCTACCGCGATGAACTGGCCTTTCCCAGCCGCGACGAGCCTTCGTCTGCTTTCTACCTCGATGAACTGGCCTTTCCTAGCTATTTCAGATAGCGGGATCGTGTAACAGTCTCCCTTTTTGGTGTCTGGCTACTTTCACTAAGCATCATGTCCTCAAGCGCCATCCACATTGCAGAGTGTGTCAGAATTTCCTTCCTTTTCCAGACTGAGTAATACTCCATTGTATGTACGGACACTTTGTTTGTCTATCACCCATCAACAGACACAGCCTGTTTCCACATTTGGTCACTGGGAACAACGCTGCTATAGACGTGGGAATACGCACATCCGCTTGAGTCTGTGTTCAGCTATTTCGGATACATGCGCAGGGCGGAATTGCTGGGTCACATGGTGATGGTGTTCCACTTGTTGGGGAACTACCAACGTGTTTTCCACAGTGGTTGCACCCTTTCATACTCCCAGCAGCTGTGCATGAGGGTTTCTGCATCCTCGCTCACACTTGCTATTTTCTGTGTCTTTGATGACAGTCATCCTAATTGCTGTGAGGTGCTATTCATCACTGTTTGTCACCCAAGCAGGTGCAGCAGCTCCCTTCCTCTTCCTGGCCTCGAGCACACACAATCCGGGCCTCACACGTCTGTACCGACAAGCACTCTCCTTTTGGGCAACAGTACACAGCGTGGCAAACCATGTGCTAGGCCAGGCCTGTCCTCCTGCCACCCGGGAGACCTGTGCCCCAGAGAGAGCCTGTCTGCAAGGTTTGGTGACGCTGCCCCTTCTGCCAGGCGTCAAGATGGATCCAGCACTGCCTGGCCTCTAACGAAAGACCGATCAAGGCAGATGCCCCAAAGACTTGGCCACTCCCTAGCGGGCCCAGCCTGGGTGTGACCCTCCCTCCCCCCACTCCCTAGCCTGGCCCTGCCTGGGTATGACCCTGCCCTCCCCCACTCCCTAGCCTGGCCCTGCCTGGGTGTGGCCCCTTGCCCCTTCCGCCTTTAGGGTGAGTGTAGTCACACAACAGTGCTGCCTGGGCCCCAGGCATTCACACAGCAGCCCCACTATACGAGCACACTGACACCCCTTCCTGTCTCACACCAGCCACACAAGACACCAGGGTCACCTGCAAACGCTTCTAGCCCAGCGGACTTCAGCAGGCCAACATCTTCAGAGGCCCAGCAGACACAATTCACTGGCCCGGAGAGGCGGGGCACGGAGGCGTGCAGAGGAGGAAGGAGGCTAAGACGTCCCTTCCCGGGCTCCCAGGCCAGCCCCACCCGTGTGGGGCCACACAGCCAGACCCGAGGGTGGGCCCCTGCCTACCGTACACCAGCCTGGGGTTCTGCTGCTTCAGCTCCTGCACAATGTCCACCACCATGGCCAGGAACGACTTGTCCCTCGTATAACCTTTAGGGGGAGAATCCAGGTCACCCTCAGAAAACAGGAGACTCACCACGATCAACTGTGGCACAAAGAAAGAGAAGCACCAGCAGACCCTGCAGAGGGGTGGCTGGGGAGGGAGGTGGGTGCAGGCGAGGTGTCCCCACAGTGCTCAGGGGCAGGGGGGAGGGAGGTGGGTGCAGGCGAGGTGTCCCCACAGTGCTCAGGGGCTGGGGGGAGGGAGGTGGGTGCAAGTGAGGTGTCCCCACAGTGCTCGGGGGCTGGGGGGAGGGAGGTGGGTGCAGGCGAGGTGTCCCCACAGTGCTGGGGGCGGGGGAGAGGGAGGTGGGTGCAGGCGGGGTGTCCCCACAGTGCTCGGGAGCTGGGGGGAAGGAGGTGGGTGCAGGCGAGGTGTCCCCACAGTGCTCGGGAGCTGGGGGGAAGGAGGTGGGTGCAGGCGAGGTGTCCCCACAGTGCTCGGGAGCTGGGGGGAGGGAGGTGGGTGCAGGCGAGGTGTCCCCACAGTGCTGGGGGCGGGGGGAGGGAGGTGGATGCAGGCGAGGTGTCCCCATAGTGCTCAGGAGCTGGGGGGAGGGAGGTGGGTGCAGGCGAGGTGTCCCCATAGTGCTCAGAGCGGGGGGAGGGAGGTGGGTGCAGGTGAGGTGTCCCCACAGTGCTCAGGAGCTGGGGGGAGGGAGGTGGGTGCAAACGAGGTGTCCTCACAGTTGAAAGACACGGAGGGCAGACCCGGCAGCATTTCTCAACAGAAACGCTGTGCTTCACAGGAATGAACCCACGGGCGAGAGGTGAAGGAGTGATCTTTCCTTTATTTATATTTCTACTTTCAGTAATAAGCATATGACACTTTAATCTTATTTATTTTGAGACAGGGTCTCATTCTGTCCCCTAGTCCAGAGTGCAGTGGTTCAACCATAGCTCACTGCAGCCTTGAACTCCCAGGCTCAAGCCATCCTCCCACCTGAGCTTCCCGAGTAGCTGGGACTGTGCCCAGCTAATTAATTTTTAAAAATTTTTTTGTAGAGACAAGGTCTCACTATGCCGCTCAGGCTGGTTTTGAACTCCTGGTCTCAAGCGAGCCTCCCTCCTAGTCTTCCCAAAGTGCTGGGATTACAGGTTCGAGCCCCTGTGCCTGGCCTTATATGTGACCTTTAGACATGTAGAGAGGCTGGGCGCAGTGGCTCACGCCTGTAATTCTAACACTTTGGGAGGCTAAGTGTTTCCCCTAACCATTTAAAAGTGTAGAAACCAGGCTGGCTGCAGTGGCTCACGCCTGTAATCCCAGCACTTTGGGAGGCTAGGGTGGGTGGCTGGCTTGAGCCTAGGAGTTCAAGACCAGCCTGGGCAACATGGCAAAACCCTGTCTCCACACACACCCACAAAAAGTTAGCTGGGCATGGTGGTGCACGCCTTTACTCCCAGCTACTTGGGATGTTGAGGCAGGAGGATCACCTGAGCCTGGGAGGTTGAGGCTGCAGTGAGCTATGATTGTGCCATTGCACTACAGCCTGGGCCACAGAGTGAGACCCTGTCTCAAAAATAATAATAATAATAAACATGTATACAAATACAATTTTTTTTTAACCAGAAAGTTGACAAAGGATGGCAGTGTACCAGGTAGCAGCCCGTCACCTAATTGAGTGTCCCACCCACCTGTCCTGCCCCGGTCAGCGTTCCCAACACCCTGCCTGCACCCTCCCCTGGGCACTGGAACCCCAGTGTGGTCACAGGAGTGGGGGTGACTTGGCACAGCCTGGGCAGTCATTGTCCCGGCAGGCATAGTGTGGCCAGGACCCCCCAGGCTACCGGGGGTGTGATGGTGGCTTGGGCACGCCAAGGCCCTCCTTGAAGGGGCAGGGACCCGAGACAGGCCCAGGGCGGGGGTGCTCTGGACCTCCCTGAGCCCACCCTGGCTGGAGTGGGGTGCGTAGTCCCCTGCGGCAGCTTGCTCCGGCACCTACCTGTGAGCACGTAGTCATATTTATTCATGTTGTTCAGCCTCAGGCCTTCGTACAACTCCTGGAGCTCATCTGAATTCAGCACTTGGCCCTTCCAGTGGGCATAGCCTAGAGGCAGAGGAAGCCATGGGGGCTCAGACACAAGGGGGCCAGCTGGGGCCGTGGGCTTCCCTTGACACCCGCCCACTCTCCCTGAGGCTGCCTGGTGGACGGCTCCTCCCCATGGACTGGCTCAAACCCGAAGGAGATCACTAGGCGCAGTGCTTGGCAGGTCCCAACGGCTGCCCACATGGGACGCCTCGAGCCCCCCGCGAGCCCCCCGCGAGCCCCCCCGCGAGCCCCCCGCGAGCCCCCCCGCGAGCCCCCCCGCGAGCCCCCCCGCGAGCCCCCCGCCAGCCCCCCGCCAGCCCCCCGCGAGCCCCCCCGCGAGCCCCCCCGCGAGCCCCCCGCGAGCCCCCCCGCGAGCCCCCCGCGAGCCCCCCCGCGAGCCCCCCCGCGAGCCCCCCCGCGAGCCCCCCGCGAGCCCCCCGCGAGCCCCCCCGCGAGCCCCCCGCGAGCCCCCCGCGAGCCCCCCCGCGAGCCCCCCCGCGAGCCCCCCGCGAGCCCCCCCGCGAGCCCCCCGCCCCTGCACTGTCAGGGATGGTTACTACGACCTCCGTGGCCCCCACACTCCCACTGCCAGTTCCTGCGGGAGCTGCGTCCCAGGTACAGGAGGAGCGTGGGGAGAGACACACCAGCTCACGGCTGCGTTGCTCCCCCATTGCTGTCCGGAAGGCCCCTGGCTACTCCCTCCGCACAACGTCACAGTCTCTTGTTTCCCAGCGTCTCCTGCATTAGTCCCCAGCTATTCAGGCCGGGGTGCTCGGCCACCGGCCACTGTCACCCGGATACCCTGGCAGGTAGGGCTTGTTATGTCCCCACCCCCAACTCCTCCCCAACAAGCTTATTAAGGTGCAATTAGAGCCTGTCTTAGATCAACTCCTGAGCAAGAGATAGATGTGAATGAGAAAGAGGCCTCAGCCCAGGTGTATACAACCTGCCCTTGGCCCGATGGGTAGCCAGGGTGAAGTGTCCGTCCCAGGCAGACAGGCATATCAATGTGTGAGGACAGACGCGTCGGCTTCCTGCAGGCGGGACCACCAGCCTCCTGGGAGCCCTTCCTGCACTGCGGAACCTGACCACAGCTCCAGCTCAAAGCACTGCTCAGGGGGCAGCCATCCACACAGGGTGGGGGTCCACCATGGATACCCCACATTCGCCCATGAGAAACGCCTCACATCGAGGGGCTCCCGGCCTCCTCCCACATGAATCACCCCTCTAATGCATGCCTTTTTCAGCAAATAAGGAAAACTGATGTATGGGTTCCTAGAATAGCAAAGTACAAGTATCACGCACTTGTGGGTCACGGCCGGCTCTGCGCCCACGCGCCATGCCCTGTGGCTAAGATCCCCTGAATTCCCACACCAGAGGAGGGCTCCATGGCTCCTGCCCCTGAGGGCCCTCCTGCGTACCAGTCGCTGGCTCCCGCTGGAAGGGACGCCTTTGGCTTTCCCCAGCAGCCGTCGCACGGGAGGACGTGTGGCGCAAAGGTCCTGAGACTGCCATCAGGAGCCACGCTCCAGGCACAGTGCGGCATCTGGGGGGTGCACCTGGGGGCGCCTGCCCTGTACTCTGCCCGGGACACCAGAGTGTACGCACTGAGGGGTGGGTCTGCCAGAGACCAAGCCCCTGATGGACTCTGGGTTAACAGTCACTGGGGTCAGGAGGGGCAGGTGGTATCCACTGCGGGCGAGGTCAGTGCCTCACACAGCAGCCTGCCCCTCCGGTGGAGGGTGTGTCCTGAGGAGGCTTCTGCCAGGCTGGGGCGGGGTTTGGGGTAAGGGGTAGGAGGAGGGAGGTGAGCAATGGTCCCTCCTGGTCCTTTCTGCCCTCGGATTTTGATATCTTTCCAGGCAGGGTGGGACTCACCACTGCTGCACATGTGCTCCTTTCCTGGGGAGGTGACATGGCCTGGCTGTGTCCCCACCCAAATCTCATCTTGAATTGCAGTTCCCATAATCCCTACATGTTGTGGGAGGGACCTGGCAGGAGGTCATTCAATCATGGGGGTGGTTCCCCCATCTTGTTCTCATGATAGTGACTGAGTTCTCACAAAAGCTGATGGTTTCAAGGGGCTTTTAAAACCCTGGGCCCCTCAGTCTGCACTTCTCCTTCCTGCCGCCAATGTGAAGGAGGTGTTTGTTTCCCCTTCTGCCATAACTGTAAGTTTCCTGAGGCCTCCCCAGCTCTGCTGAACTGTGAGTCCATTAAACCTTTTTCCTTTACAAATGACCCAGTCTCAGGTATGTCTTTATTAGTGTTGGGGACCAGCCTCAACACCACCCATGGTGTATCCAACGTCCGGTAGTGACAAAGGAATGAGAAGAGACAGGTTAAGAGTTCATAAAGGTGGGGCCGGGTGCGGTGGCTCACGCCTGTAATCCCAGCAGTTTGGGAGGCTCAGGCAGGCAGATCACCTGAGGTCGGGAGTTCGAGACCAGCCTGGCCAACGTGGCAAAACCTCATCTCTACTAAAAAATACAAAAATTAGCTGGGCGTGGTGTGTGAGGTCAGGAGATCGAGACCAACCTGGTGAACACTGTGAAACCCCGTCCCTACTAAAAATACAAAAAAATTAGCCGGGCGTGGTTGCGGGTGCCTGTAGTCCCAGCTACTTGGGAGGCTAAGGCAGGAGAATGGCATGAACCCAGGGGGTGGAGCTTGCAGTGAGTGGAGATCGCGCCACTGCACTCCAGCCTGGGCAACAGAGTGAGACTCCGTCTCCAAAAAAAAAAAAAAAGAAAAAGAAAAGAGTTCATAAAGGTAGGAGCCAGGGGGCCAGTGGCAAAATGGAGGCTGCAAAAGGCACTGAGCTCTGGTCTCCACGCTATTTATTGAGTACAGTCACTTAGATCTGAGAAGCAGATATTCAGGGCGAAACAGTGAAAGGGAGGCAGTGCGTCACAGGCGTAATCTACAGCAATAGCGGTTTCAATGAATCTCCTTTGTGCTCAAACAGCGTATCTTTAACTTATCGGACAGGAGCTGGTGGGAGCGGGCTTAACCAGGAGCTCGTGTGTCTGTCCACAGTCCAGTGCTTCGAAGGAATGTCTTTCTCCTTGAACACGGTGTTTACAGATAAGACAGCAGGTCTCGCCCTGAGCATGCGAACATGATGGCAATTAGGAGGCTTTCCTCCTCAGAGGCCTCTTGTGGCTTTCCACAACTTATTGTCCCATATTTTCATGGCCAGTTTATACAGGCATTCCACAAGCCCTTTTCCCAACAATTAGCAGTGTGAGAACGGACTAATACAGGGTGCCATCGGGAAGGACTGCAGCCAGGCGGCTCCAATTCTCCTACTGTCCTGGGCACGGGGGTCCAAGGTCCAGGTGTCACCAGGGCTGGTTCCTGAGGCCTCTGCCCTGGGCTTGCAGACGGCATTGCCTCCCTGTTTCCTCATGGGGCTGTCCCTCTGTGTGTGTCTGTGTCCTCATCTCTTCTTCTTACAAGGACACCAAGCAGCTTGGATCAGGGCCCACCCAGAGCCCTGATGGCCTCTTTTAACCTGCTGACCTCTGTAGGGGCTCCATCTCCAAACCCAGTCCCACACTGAGGTGCTGGGGTTAAGGCTGCAACATGAGAATTTGGGGGGACGTAATTCAGCCATAACAGCCATGAGGAAGGGGAGACGTCCAGCACTTGGCCGGGTCTCAGACACAGGCCCCAGGCCCCTCTGAGGCCCAGCTTCCTATCGAAACAGAGGGCATGGTCTTGCACCTCTTGGTGGCCTCCTGCCCACTGTGGGATGTGGGATGGGCCCAGAGCCCACAAGAACCTTCTCCAACAGGGGAGGGCGCTTGGATCTTGTGTCCAACTCATTCCATTTACAGATGAAAAAGCACAGGCAAACAAGCGGTTCCTCGGGCGGCCCAAGGAGCCTGGCACTCCTGTCAGATCCCAGCCGGCCAGGGAGTCTGGCCCGGCCTGGCCCCTCGCTGGTGTCCGTCGGCAGGCTCCTGGCCCGGCCTGGCCCCTCGCTGGTGTCCGTCGGCAGGCTCCTGGCCCTGGCCTTCTCCAGCCCCGCAGCTCCTTGTGTTCACACCAGCTGCCCCTTCCCTGCAGCAGGGACCACCAAGCCCAGCAGCAGGGCACCTGTCCCATCCCCTCTGGCTCTACACTCCGAAAGCCAGGACAGCGCAACCCGTCCACCCGCTGACCTCCAGCTCCGCAGGCTCCTTCCCAGTGCCCTCAGTCCGGGAAGCTCAGACAGGGAGCTCCAGGAAATCCTCTCAAAGGGGCCACTGGGAATACTGGCCACAAGGTGGAGGCTCTGCCAAGCCCAGCTCACGGTGTGGAAAAATGAACGCACCTTGTGGTACGGCCTCAAGGAACGGGGGCCTGGCCGGGGGAAGGGGCAGAAGTGCGAGCAGCAGCCTCGAGGCGGCGAGGCCTGCGCCAGGTGGGCTCTGCAGGCACTTGGGGGATCGGCTTTCCCACCCCCCAGCCTGAAGGGCGTCAGGGAACCAACAACGCAGCTTGTGTGGAACACCCGTGTCCCTGCCGGGAGTCTGGCTTTGTGGCCCATCCCAGGCAGAAGCTGCCCACGTGACCACCCCAGTAACAACCCTGGGCAGGAGGTGGGCGTGCTGGTGCACAACTATAGTCCCAGCCACTCGGGAGGTGGAGGCAGAAAGATTGCTTCAGCCCAGGAGGTCAAGGCTGCAGTGAGCTGGTTGCGCCACTTCACGCCAGCCTGGGCGACAGAGACCGACCTTGTCTCTAAAAAAGAAAAAAGAAAAGACTGGGCGTGGAGTCTCACACCTGTAATCCCAGCACTTTGGGAGGCTGAGGGGGCAGGATCGCTTGAGCCCAAGGAGTTCAAGACCACCTTGGGCAACATAGTGAGACTCCGTCTCTATGAAAAATAGCAAAATTAGCTCGGTGTGGTGGTGCACACCTGTAGACCCAGCCACTTAAGAGGGTGAGGTGGGAGGATCTCTTGAGCTCAGGAAGTCAAGGCTGCAGTGAGTCATGACCGCAGGACTGCACTCCAGCCTGAATGACAGAGGGAGACCTTGTCTCACAAAAAAAAAAAAAAAAAAACAGAAAAAGGAAAAGGAAAACCCTGGGCAGAGTCGCGAATGAGCTCCCTGGCAGCATCATCCCAGCTCCCTGCCAAATCAGGCGCAGCCTGTGCAACCCCACCTTCAACTCCTAGGTGCTCACTGGAGAACTGAGACAAACGTTCATGGCAGCATGACCCCAACAGCCAAAAAGTGGAAACGGCCCGAGTGTCCGCACGGCTGCTTGTGGCTGGGCTCACGTGGCCGGTCACACAGGGCGTGAGCTGGTCCTGGGCACGCACGATGGGCCACGCAGCAGGAGGAACATGACAACGTGGCCCCTGAGACAGCCCGGGGAGCGCAGCCCTGGAACAAGGGTGCCCGGAGCAGAACAGCCCCTACAATGCGGGAGGCCCGTCGTGCATGCAGACATCTTTCTTTGTGCATAATCAGGACCAGTAAAATGCTTCCTGGAGGTGAGTTTGGTGAAAAATAAGCACCTCTAGCCCTTAGACAGAGGGTAGGGGGAACAAAAAGGAAAAACAACAACAAAAAAACTCAAAAAACAAAAAGCGCCTCCAGCTCTGTCAAGGTCTGCAGAACAGACAGTGTCATCGTGGGCACCGCACTCACAGTGGGTGGCACGGGAGCCCAGAGGGGCTGAGGGGCTGCACGGAGGAGGCCGAGTCCCCCGTCTTGACCACCAGCTCCCGTGGCACCCAGGGCAGGTACACGATGCACCAGCCTCACTCCCCAGCAGCACAGTGTGGCAGGGGCGAGGGAAGGGGAGCAGGCAGAAGGGCCCCGGTGCAGGGGAGAGTGACACCTGCCCTCACTGCCCTAGGGAGTTGCCCCTGAGCCACAGAGACAGCCTTAGGGAAGCTACCCGGGGGCCTCCTGATCAGGCCGCACAGACAGCTGACCCCGAGAGTGTGGGTACAGGGGGCTGGGAGCCAGCCCACAGCCATAGACTGAGCTGGCTAAGGGGTCCTAAACCAGCAGGCCCCCCATGGCATCTGGAGGAGGCTGGAGTGGGGGCTCCCAGGAACCACAGGCTGGACCCCATGGGAAGGGACACCCCCAGGCTGTCTGCCTGGCTCTGCAACTGTGGAGGCTCCCAAGCGCCTGGGGTCCTGTCCTCATCCCAGTCCCCTGAGGGCAGACCAGAGACCCCTTTTCTATCTCTGGGCCCTCGGGTCAGCCAGCCCACCACCCACTGAGAAGCTTCCACCAAGCCTGGAAGGCATTGCCAAAGCCCGGGGCCCTCCCGCAACCTGGAATCCATGCAAGGGCAGCCGGGTCGGTGTGGATGTTGAACCAGCACTGACGGAGCCCAACACAGTCCCCAGAAACACACTCAACACCCTGCTTTAGTGTCCAAGCCGGCCAGCTCACTCACTGAAAAATAAATCCTAAAGGAGGATGGCGAGAGCAGCCAGGAAGGACATGTGGGTTCAGGGAGGCTCCTGGAGGGCCTGAGTCTTCGGGGACGTCTCCAAATCTCACAGCACCCAGTGTGCCCCGCAAGCAAAGGCAGGAAAGGGTTTCAGCGAGAGCTGGAGCTTGTCCATCTGCACCGCCAAGAGCTGGAGCCTGTCCGTCTGCACCGGCCAAGCAACTCTTTCCTCTCACTTAGCACGTGTCATGCCCACCTCAAAAGAAACCACAGCATTCCTTCCCACTCCCAAGAGTAGGGGCCAGGCCCCTCCTCCCTGCTCCAACATATCGCACTGATGCTCTGCCAGGCTGTTTCTGGGACGTTCTGTGCTCCCAAGGTTCCGCCTGGGTTCAGAGAAATTTCAGGGGAAGCGAGGTGGGGTTTCAAAGAACAGAACAGCTTTGTTCTCCTGCCGACGAAGCAGTATAGAAACCACAGAGAGGAGGGGGGACTCCACGCACCTCCACCCCCAGGCCATGGGGCTGGGGGCATGGAAAGCATGGCCTGTGAGGGGCTTCTGAGGCCGGCCACCCTCAGTCCCCTGAGCCAGCAAAGTCCTCAGAGTCCCAGGGCAGGGAGACAGAGGCACACACGGGGCCCTGCAGCACTGCTGTTAACAGAGAAAACCCAGAACCACCTACACATCCCCCAGCACGACCACCCCATGGGGGACCCTCCTCAGCTCCAGGAGGCAGGTGGACAGCAGGAGTCACACGGCTGCGCTCTGAGCCAGGCATTGGTCCAAGCATTTTATGCAAGTGACGTAATCAACTCTGGCAACCTCACGGCAGGTGTTAGGATTGCCCTCCTGTCTTACAGAGAAGGAAACTGAAGCACCGAGAGGTTCTGCCACCTGCACTGGGTCACACAGCCTCAAAGCAGCCAAGCTGAGTCAACACAACCCCTCTCAGAGGCGAGGCCACCCAGGCCTACACCCTGATATGCTGTGCAGGCTCTGCCCGAGCGACGCCCAGGACTCCAGGTCCCCGTCCACACGAAAGCCCCGTCCCTCACACCCACACTCCGCCCCGTCCCTCACACCCACACTCCGCCCCGTCCCTCACACCCACAGTCTGCTCTATGCCAGCTGCTGGAGCCAACGCCTTACCTGTGTGGTTTGAAAACTGGACAGAGTTCACCGCGTCAATCTCAAATCCCAAAACCTGCAAGACAGAGAAGGAACAGGTAGGCGTAAGAGAGCCAGGTCTGGGGTCCCACGAACCCCAGCAGGTGCTGACTCAGAAGAGGGGAGTAAATGAGTCCCGGCTGGCACGGGGCCCCCAGCTGCAGGCTGGAGGGCTGACGCATCAGAGCAGGAGGCTCTCCCCGAGTCACACATGACATGTGCACAGGCAGGGCCTTGTGTGTCTGGAGCTGGGCTTCCCTCTCTGGGGAGCAACCAGCCCGGGAGGGCATCGCCCAGCCCACAGGACCTCCATGGGGAAGCACTTCACGCATCATTCCAGAAATCGCACCCAGCGAAAGCACTCAATAAGACTAACAAACAATAAAACGAAGGCAATACCCATCTGTCCACACACTGAACAGAGGCTGGGAGGCTGTCTCTGCTGTGAAAATGTGGGCGTCTACCCCACCCCTTGGAAGAAGTCAGGCCAAGGGCTCCGCGGGCAGCACACATGCCTCAAAAGCCTGAGTGAGAGTCAGGGAGTGGGTGTGTGAGGACAGAGAGGGAGGGAGAGGGTGAGGGTTCCAGACAGATGGAGAGGAAGGACGGAATCCACGGAGTGGGGGCCTCCTTCCTGTATCTCCCAGGGCCAAGCCCGGCCTCCGCTAGTTTGGGGGGCCATCCCCACCCTCTCCCGTGCACCAGCAATGCCCCAAACCCTCTCTCCCTGCTGCATCTGAACAGCCAACCACCCCTGAGTCCCACCTTCAAGTTCAAAGCCAGGCAGTGCCACCTCTGCTGTCAACACCAGGACAGCGGCTGTTTCCAGGGCGGGGGGGGCGGGGGGGGGGGTGGGGATGGGGAGGGGCTTCCGGGGCTTCCCACATTTGTTTCTTCACTGGGTGGGCTTTGCTTTGTGATGATGAGTTGAGCTATCTGCTTACGATTTGTATTTGCCAAGGCTTTTCTTTGAAGCCGGTATTATCACTGAACTAATGAAACACGTTAGCAGTCTTACTAATCTAAAAAGTTAAAGTTAGCACTTTAACTTTTTTTGCGGCCAGGTGCAGTGGCTCATGCCTGTAATCCCAGCACTTTAGGAGGCCGAGGTAGGAGTACAGTTTGAGGCCAGGAGTTCAAGACCAGCCTGGGCAACATGGCAAAAACCCTGTCTCTACAAAAAATACAGAAATTAGCCGGGCGTGGTGGCACATGTCTGTAGTCCCAGCTACTCGGGAGGCTGAGGTGGGAGGATCACTGAGCCCAGGAGGTGGAGGCTGCAGTGAGCCCTGATGGCACCACTGCACTCTAGCCTGGGTGACGGAGTGAGAATATGTCTCAAAAAACATAAAAATAAAAATAAAAAATAAAATGGGCACTTTGCAAATGTACCAGCCCGAATCCACAGCCTCTATACACAGATAGCTTGCAGTATTTCAAATCCTTTAAAATTCTAACCGACTGTGAAGAAACAGATATTAAGCAACGATGACACAAATCCTGAAAATCCTGCCAAAATATTCTGCTCCACTGCTTCTGGGTGTGTAGATAATTAATCCTTTGGGGCTGGCAAACGTATCCGAGAATGAAGTCGCTATTTTCTGCTTTTAAATGAGAGCACGAGCAAGCTGAGCCCCTGGGCTGGCATCTCCGTTTCACACACCCCATCAAAATCAGCTTATTCATCAGCATCGCAAGCTGGTCTGGACGCTTCCAGAGTCTACCCATCCAACTTCATGTGCCAGACAAAGCCAGACTCAGAAGACGACAATGCACGGGGGGCGGGGTGCCAAGGTCCAGGACGGGAGCCTGGGACCCCAGAGAAAGGTATCTCCTGCTGTTACACATGTCCTTCAGCTGGAAGCCAGCGCTCTGTGCCGGACCATGCCTCTGGAATTGGCATCTCTGTACAGCAGTGGCTCCCTCCCAGGCACCACCAGGAGGTACCAAGAATGTGAAACTGAAGCCTGCGAAGAGAATGGGCTTCTGTCAGCAGTGCTCTTCTTCCCCCGGGGCTCTTCTCCCCACAGGGGCAGCGGTAGTGACCGTCCCTTCCCATAGCAGCAGCGGAATCCACTTTGTGGCTTTCCCTCCACCAGCAGAATTCCTCATCGCATGCCCCCACAGACTCCCAGCACCCGCCAGCTGGCAGACACCTGCCTTCCCAGCTCCAGGTTCTAAAGAGTCCAACAATTCTCTTATCCCAGGGTCAGCTGTGTGGAGCCAATGCTGGCAGGGGTCTCCTCCACGACACCAGTGTTCCCTTTTTGCCTTCTCTATTTTCTCAATACCTGGCTGAACAACGGCCTCTACGATTGTTGCTCTGGTTTCTGTTTCTGGACTGGACCCTGCCTGATACACCTCATCTTTCCCCACCCACAAGGGAGCCAAGGACAGACTGGTTCTTGGTCCAAGGTTCAGCCCAGCGGGCTGCTGGGCTCTCCACAACACTCACCTCCCACCCGGAGCTCCTCCACTGCCTTCACAGGAATCGCCTTCAACAAAGACAGGCCAGGTGCCCTGTGAGCAGCCCTGCTGACTGATGGGATCAGCTTGGGCCCCTTTAGGAACAGCATTACTGGTCTGTGTATGTGAATCACCTTGTTTTACAGTAAACCCTGTCCCTATAATGGCCTATGGGGCTCTTCCGTGGCAGAATTCTAAGAATGACCTTCAGGGACCCCGCTCACCCTCGGGCAACCCCCTGAGTGTGGGTGAAACCTGTCAGTGTGATGAGATCTCTCTCCCATGAGGATCTTCTTATCCAGGAGAGTTTAATTGAATGACATGAGCCCTTCAAAAGCAGAGTTTTCTCAGGCTGAAGGGCAGAAGGAAAAATCAGAGATTGGAAGTTAAAAGAAGGACTCAACGACTGTTGCTGGCTTTGAAGATGGATTGGGCCACGCGATTGCCAGATGCAATAGTGCAGGTCAGTTTTACGTAGAGTCATTATTAAAAACTGAGTCATATGGCCAGGCACAGTGGCTCACACCTGTGATCGCAGCACTTTGGGAGGCTGAGGCTGGAGGATTGATCACTTAAGCCCAGGAGTTCAAGACCAGACTGAGCAACATAGCAAGATTCCATCTCTATTTAAAAAAAAAATTGAGTCATAAAACTTACAATTATGTAAATTATATTATTATTTTTTGAGACAGGGTCTCACTCTATCACCCAGGCTGGAGTGCAGTGGCACAATCATAGCTCACTACAGCCTTGAACTCCTGGGATCAAGGGATCCACCCTCTTCAGCCTCCTGAGTAGCTAGGACTACAGGTGCGTGCTGCCACACCTGGCTAATTTTTATATTTTTTTGTTGAGACAGAGTCTCACTATGTTGTCCAGGCTAGTCCTGAACTCCTAAGCTCAATCAATTCTCCTCCCTTAGCCTCCCAAAGTGCTGGGACTACAGGTATGAGCCACTGCACCCAGACTACATAAACTATATTAAAAGTAAACATAATATATATTGTAGCCTCACCACTTCCTAGTTTACTAGCATTTTACACTATCTGTTGTCTACTCAGCTATTTGTGTCTATTGTGTCTGGAGGGAAGAACGCTACATGACAGAGGCTGCTGCACAGCTCTTTCCTGCTCAGGTTGGTAGTTTACGTTCAGCTATAGTGGAAGTATTCACACCACGGAGCTTGGCAGTACATACTCTAAATCAGATATGAGGGCTGGGCACAGTGGCTCACGCCTGTAATCCCAGCACTTTGGGAGGCCGAGGTGGGAGGATCACCTGAGGTCAGGAGTTCGAGACCAGCCTGGACAACATGGCAAAACCCCGTCTCTACTAAAAATACAAAAATTGGCCGGGTGTAGTGGCTCGTGCCTGTAGTCCCAGCTACTCAGGAGGCTAAGGCAGGAGAATCACTTGAACCTGGGAGGCGGAGGTTGCAGTGAGCCAAGACTGCAACTAGCCTGGGTGACAGAGAGAGACTCTGCCTCAAAAAAATTCAAATCAAACCAAATCAATCAATCAATCAATCAATCAATCAGATATGAGCAAGACTCTCTGATGTCCATACCTGCTGTGACGGTCCACTGAGGCCTGTGGACTATCACCTCATCCCCCTTCTCGGGATGGTCTTATTAGGCCGCCGTGCTACCATTTTTTGTTTTTTGTTTTTTTTGTTTTGTTTTGGTTTTCTTTTTTTGAGACAGGATCTCATGCTGTTGCCCAGGCTGGAGTCCAGCGGCACAATCTCAGCTCGCTGCAACCTCTCCCTCCTGGGCTCAATTGATTCTCCTGCCTTAGCCTCCTGAGTAGCTGGGACTACAGGCATGTGTCACCATGCCTGGTTAATTTTTTATGTTTTATTTTTTGTGGAGAAATATTGCCTATATTGCCCAGGCTGGTCTTGAACTCCGGGGCTCAAGCGATCCTCCCACCTCAGCCTCCCAAAGTGGTGCAATAACAAGGCGTGAGCCATCGTGCTCGGCCCGTGCTACTGTTCTGCTCCTAGCTCCCCTCATGTGCATTCCCCACCCGCACCTCCAGACGTACCCCTCTAAACCCAGCCCTTGAGCGTCTGCTGCGCCCACAGGATGCAGCTCAGACTCCCGGAGCGTCCCACTCCCACGGCTGATGCCCCTGGCTGCTGGGTCGCCCACCACTCTGTGAACTCCTCACTGGGCTGCAGAACCCCGGGCACCTTCTGAATCCTGTAAAGCTCTGAAACCCCTGTGCCTGGCCAACTCCCCTCTCTCAGCTCAGACCGTCCTTCTTTCGGCCTCCAAGACCCTGCTGCAACCGTGCCTACGGAGCCCCCGCGACAGCACGCGAAGAACGAGGGTTCTTCAGGACTGGGGCTCTCTGCCGGCCCTGGCCAAAGCCCCCGGCCTCTGACAAACCCACTGCTGCCACAGGACAGCCTGGCTGTCTCCGCTGGGAAGTCTGAAGGACAAGCTCCTGCTCAGCCTCTACCGCAAGGTGTAACTCCGTAAACAAGCGCCAAGCACCCAGCGGAGCCGGGGTGGGAAGAGCCGCGGAGGCCGCAGCCAGGGGGCAGGATTGCGGGCGGGCGGGTGCGGGGTGGGGGGCTGGGCTTTGCCCCGCTCATCCGTGTGACGTATTGGGGCTCCCCCACCTGCAGGCGTGCGCCCCGTCTCCTGCCGAGAGAGAAAGCCAGTCAGATGGCTACACTCTGCCCTGGGGGGTCAAAATAATCCCAGCAGAGTCCAGGCCAGTGGGATGGCTTAGAAAGGGTCGCAACTTCCTCCTGGGAACTTCCTGCGGGGGCCGCAGCGGAAGTGCTTTCAACCTCATCAGTCATCCGGCTGGACCGCAGGAGCTCTCCGACTCCCTTCCCCCTGCCGCCCGCGACACAAGCTCATCCCCTGCCCAGGCGCAGCCCGCAGTCCTCCTCCCTCGGCCGGTGGTGTGAGCAGCCCTCCTCCTGCCCACGTGCGGGAGTGGCTGCCTCGGGCTCCTCCCAGGGCCCACGTGCGCGCCTTATCGGCAGCATCCCACTCTGCTCACAGCGAGGCAGACAGGCAGACAGCCAGACACTACGTGAGCGCGGCGGCTCAGCTGATCCTCCTCCTCCTCCGGGGAGGCAGGGTGACTCAGAACGGCAGGAGTGGGGGAAGCTCTGGAACATTCCAGGGGAGCTCCTCCACCCCAGCCTGACCACCCTAGTTCCAGGCGTTCCAGGGGAGAGCAGGGTGAGCGCTGCACAGAAGCCGAAGCCACCCACCCAGCAGAACCCTCCCTTTAGCTTATTTTGCAGAGACCTCTGACCACTTTAGGAAACCAGAATGAGGAAAGAGGACAGGAGAGATCATGTGACTGCTTCACCCTGATCAACCTGGGGCACAAGCACCCCGCGTCCCTCCCACCGCCTGCCACTGGTCAGCCCTATGATCCACATCAACCATGTCCTTTGTCCTACAAACTCCCAGGGGGAACTTCTGGTGGAAATGGCCCCGAGCCCCCCAGAGCAGTCTCCCCTCATCCCTGACCCACCCCTGCCTCAGCCTTCACAGCTCCAGGGTCCATCGCCTGGGCCCCCAGCCCTGCTCAGAGCACATGGACACCCAGCTCCCTACTTCCAGGCTCACAGTGCCGCAGAGGGACCGTGCACCAGCTGGGCAGGGGCTGCCAGGTGCTGGGCTCACTGCAAAGTGCTAAGGGAAGGCAGAGGTCATGGCTGGCTCAGAAGTGCCCAGATGGCCAGACAGCTGGGGGCTGAGTCCAGGGATTGCCAAAGCAGCATTCCTGACCCAATATGGGCTCCCTGGTGTGACCTCGGGCCCCGTCCACCCCCACAGCGTGCAGCAAAAATGCCACCTTATTCTAGCTCCAGAGTCTGCTCCACAGGGCCTCACACCCGCTGCACCCTCCTCCTGGATGCTGTTCCTCCCTGTGCCCCGGCTGGCAGAGCTCCACCTAGTGCTGGCTCCCTCCCACCCCTTGGAACTCGCTCCCATGCACAGCAACTGGCCCTTGGGGTCAGCCAAACCTGTGTGCACTGCACAGCTTCCTCGTTTAGCTGTCCTAGGGTGACCACATTCCCAGAGGCTTGGTGACTGTCACAGGTAAGGAGATGGGACAAGAGGCTAAGCAGGCTAGCCACCTGCTTCAGGAATGGGGAAAGCTGCCGGAGGAGTGGCCAAGGACAGGGACAGGGGCTGGCAGGCTTGTCTTGGCCACAGAACCCTTTAAAACAGAGGCCCCATGCAGAGCCGGGGAATAGATGGGCACAAGGCGGCTGCTCTGTGGGCAGGAAGGGAGGCGCTGCCGGCCCCTCCTCGGCTGATTGCACGGTTTTTTGCTCAGCCCATCTTTGACAACTCCTTTCTTCCTTTCTCCTTGAGAAGTTCCCTCTGTTCTTATTCCTCAGCGTCACTCACTCTGTGAACTGGGCACGCAGGATTCCATTTCAAAAGCTCTGTGTGGGTGTGCACCCGCAGACACCAAGGCCAACAAGCCACAATGCCAATCAGCAGCCCCTGTGTCCCCGAAGCTGCCCGTTCTGCGGATCCGCCCCTCCCTTTCCAGGGAATGCCAGTCACACCAAGCCTCCTAGGAAGGAAGTCACTTACAGGAAAGACGGGGGGGCCGGCCAACACTGGGGCCTGCAGAGCAACACACCGCATACACACACATGCATGCCCATGACACACGCATGCATGCCCAGACATGTGCACACACGCCATGCACACATGCCCCATACACATGCATCCCACATGCACACATGCATGCCATGTACACACAAGCACACCCACATACACACACACCATGTACACACATGCACACCCACATACACACACAGTGTACACAAACACACCACGTACACACATGCACACCCACATACACACACACACATGCACCGATGTGGGCTAGAGCCAGAGGCAAGAGGGAAAAATAGATCAGAAAATGGGACCAATAGGCTGGGTGCAGTGGCTCATGCCTGTAATCCCAACACTTTGGGAGGCTGAGGTGGGTGGATTGCCTGAGGTCAGGAGTTCAAGACCAGCCTGGCCAACATGGTGAAACCCCGTCTCTACCAAAATACAAAAATTGGCCGGGCGCGGTGGCTCAGCCGTAATCCCAGCACTTTGGAAGGCCGAGGCGGGCAGATCCCGAGGTCAGGATATCGAGACCATCCTGGCTAACATGGTGAAACCCTGTCTCTACTAAAAATACAGAAAAATTTGCCTGGTGTGGTGGCGGGCGCCTGTAGTCCCAGCTACCTGGGAGGCTGAGGCAGGAGAATGGCGTGAACCTGGGAGGAGGAGGAGGCTGCAGTGAGCCAAGATCACGCCACTGCACTCCAGCCTGGGTGACAGAGTGAGACTCCGTCTCAAAAAAAAAAAAAAAAAAAAGAAAAAGAAAAAATGGAAAACGGGACCGATAAGTTCTTGTTTTTCTCCATGACAGCCAAACAAGAATAACAGAAACCTCAGTCCCAAACTAAGGGAGTCAGAAAAGCAAAAAACTAGCCAATTTTCTTCCTTCTTGGAGAAAGATGAAAGAAAAAGAAGAAATACCAGAAACAACACCTGTTTCCTGGATTGGGACACATTCTGGCTCAGACCCAGGGACTGGCAGAGGCCAGAGAGAGAGAGAGAGAGAGAGAGAGAATCCCAGCTAGACGGGAGGAAAGCCAGCTGCCCAGCATGGCCTGGAGAGCACGTGGGAACGTTCCGAGGACACTCAGAAGCGTCTCCAACATACAGCATCAGCATCACCTCTAAGGAAGTTAGTGCGGGCCACCGGAGGAAGGAAGGAGGCACACTTTTCACCACTGGCTCTTTTTCCTTTCCTTTTCTTTTTTTTTTGTTTTGAGCCTGAGTCTTGCTCTGTTGCAGGGGCTGGAGTGCAGTGGTGCAATCTTGGCTCACTGCAACCTCCACTTCCTGGGTTTAAGCAATCTCCTTCCTCACCCTCCTGAGTAGCTGGGATTACAGTAGTGTGCCACCACGCCCGGCTAATTTTTTGTATTTTTAGTAGAGATGGAGCTTCACCATGTTGGCCAGGCTGGTCTCGAACTCCTGACCTCAGGTGATCCACCCACCTCAGCCTCCCAAAGTGCTGGGATTATAGGCGTGAGCCACCGTGCCTGGCCCAGCGCTGGCTTTTTTGTACTGTTTGCAAATGCATGTCACCTTGAAAAATGTTAAGGCAAAAATGATGTCTTTTAAAAGGCAGGGTGGTATTCTTCCAGGATCTTATAGTGCAGTTCTGAAGGCAAAGAAGACTCTTTCTATCCTAGGAATTCTAAGAAAAAATGTAAAGATTTTTCAAAACACCAGGTGTTTTGTTTTGTTTTGAGACGAGAGTCTTGCTCTGTCGCCCGTGCTGGAGTGCAGTGGCGCGATCTCGGCTCACTGCAAGCTCCGCCTCCTGGGTTCACACCATTCTCCTGCCTCAGCCTCCCAAGCAGCTGAGACTACAGTCGCCCACCACCACGCCTGGCTAATTTTTTGTAATTTTAGTAGAGACGGGGTTTTACCGTGTTAGCCAGACTGGTCTCGATCTCCTGATCTTGTGATCCGCCTGCCTCAGCCTCCCAAAGTGCTGGGATTACAGGCGTGAGCCACTGCACCCAGCCAACACCAGGTGTTTTAACCATTTCCCCAAGAGAACCCTCCAGTGATGCCACATCTCTGAAGAAGAGGCCACTTTGCAGAGCAGGGGATTTTTTTTTTTTAAAAACAGGGTCTACCTAGTGCATCGGTATTCTCTGTCAACTTTCTGGTTAAAAATACATTGTACTTCCATACATGTTTATTTTTTACTTTTTTTTTTTTTTGAGACAGGGTCTCACTCTGTCACCCAGGCTGGAGTGCAGTGGCACCATCACAGGTCACTGCATCCTCCACCTCCTGGGATCAGGTGATCCTCCCACTTCACCTTCCCAAGTAGGTGGGACTACAGATGTGAGTCACATAGCCAGCTTTTTTTTTTTTTTCTTGTAGAGCTGGAGTCTTGCTATGTTGCCCACGGTGGTCTCAAACTCCCAGGCTCAAGTGATCCCCCCATCTCGGCCTCCTAAAGTACTGGGATTATAGGTGTGAGCCACCGCACCTGGGCTTGGGGATGCTTAAATATTTGAGGATAGAAATCAGCTCCTGACTTGAGGGCCCTCAAGCAACCCCCTGGGGACCCCGTCACGCGTCTCTGGGAGCCCGGGGTTACTCGCTGCTCGCGTCCACATGCTGCTCAAGTGCTGAGGTCCCAAAGCTCTGCAGCTTCTGCTCCTGTCCGGAGAAGCGGGGCCCAGTAAGCAGGTGGGACCCTCGGCCTCTGCCACAGCTACTTTTGCCAATGTCACAGCAGGTAGGAGTCAGGTGCTGACATCCAGGGTTCCAGGGCAGGGAGCCCCCTGCCTCTTCCTGTGGGGCGCTTGAGCCACAGTCCACCTGCCTAACGGGCATGGCATTGAGGCCCCTAGACAGAGAAATACAACCTCCGCCAAGCCCCCTCAGGTGTCTCAGGTCTGCTCCGCACCGACGGACCACGAGAATGAAAGAATGCGGCTGCCTGCAGGCCCCAGATGGAGCCAGCCACCTCACAGGGTCTTCTGGTGGGGGCTGCAGGGAGTCCCATGGTCTTGCCTTCTGGTCTCTGCGATGTGGTATTTAAATGGGTCTCGAGCTAAGGCCCCAAGTGAGATTCTCAAAGCCATGGAATCCAATCATGGAATGTCTGATGTCCACAACCTCCTCCCTAGGAGCGGCCCTGTGAAAGCGCACCTGCACTGTGGTCCTGCAGCACGGAGGTCACATGTGTCCCAGGCGGCAGTGCCTGGCACCCAGCCTCGGCGGCTCCAGAGGCTGACAGATGAAGGACACGGATATCACCCAGCCAGCGGGAATCTACTACCTGTCCATCTGGACGGGATGCACAGTGACAGGACAGGCTTGCCTCTCCCCACAGGGCAGCTACTGGCCTCAGACGTGCTTGGGACAATCTCTGCACAGCCCAGTTTGGAGACTCACAGCTGTGCTGCTCCCCTCACTTCCAAAAAGGACGTCTTGACGTCATCAACTTCTGGGCCTTTAATTCACCCCTTGGTTTATGCCACTTTCAAATTTCTCTGAAGGCTCCTTCCAGATTGAATGCTGGACCCTCGAAGGATATGTTTAACTGAAACCTGTGAAGGGGACTCTATTTGGAAAAAGGATCTTTGGGCCGGGCACGGTGGCTCACGCCTGTAATCCCAGCACTTTGGGAGGCCGAGGCAGGCAGATCACCTGAGGTCAGGAGCTCAAGACCAGCCTGGCCAACATAGTGAAACCCCATCTCTACTAAACAGAAATACAGAAAAATTAGTCAGGTGTGGTGGTGCATACTTGTAATCCCAGCTACTCAGGAGGCTGAGGCAGGAGAATTGCTTGTACCTGGAAGGGGGAGGTTGCAGTGAGCCTAGATCGCTCCATTGTACTTCAGCCTGAGCGACAGAGTGAGACCCTCGTCTCAAAAAAAAAAAAAAGAAAGAAAAAGAAAAAGAAGGCCAGGCGTGGTGGCCCCATGCCTGTAATCCCAGTACTTTGGGAGGCCGAGGTGGGCGGATCACGAGGTCAGGAGATTGAGACCATCCTGGCTAACACGGTGAAACCCCGTCTCTACTAAAAATACAAAAAAATTAGCCAGGCGTGGTGGCGGGCGCCTGTGGTCCCAGCTACTCAGGAGGCTAAGGCAGGAGAATGGCATGAACCCGGGAGGCAGAGCTTGCAGTGAGCCGAGATCGCGCCACTGCACTTCTGCCTGGGCAACACAGCAAGACTCCGTCTCAAAAAAAAGAAAGAAAGAAAAAGTATCTTTGCAGATGTAAGATTCCAAGATGAGATCATGCCAGATTATCCAGGTGGGCCTGAATCCCATGTTAAGTGGACTTTTAAGAGAGCACACTGGGCGGAGGCCACGTGAGGACAGAGACAGAGACTGGAGTGATTCGGCCGTGAGCCCCAGAAGCCTGGGGCCACCGAGAGCTGGAAGAGGCCGGGAAGGACCCTTGTATGGAGGGAGCATGGCCCTGCCCACACCCTGGTCTCAGACTTCTGGCCCCCAGACTATGAGAGGTGAATTTCTGCTACAATGAGCAACCTGGTTTGTGGTACTTTGTTTTGGCAGTCCGGGCAAACTCCTACATGACCCTAAGGCTGCATATGGTATTTTCAATCCAGCAAACTCATACATAACCCTACAGCTGTGTACCTTAGGGTTACGGAAGCAATAGAGCAAAAGGGGTTGGGAGGCTGCCCTGAGGGCCCCAGGATCTCCCCCATGCAGTGAGGCCTACAGAAACATGTGAGCTGCTGAACTGATAGCCAGGAAGGCTTTCCACACATACACACCTGGGGCTCCAAAGAGCCAAACCTCCCAGCCCTGGAAGAACCTGAGGTTTCCTACACCCAAGAGGAAACAGTCCTAGCAATGTGGAAGGGCAGATGGCCGCAGCCACTAGTTCCCTCCACTCCTTCCTGTCTAGAATCCAAGCCAGAGCAGCGGGGAAGTGCCCCACCCCAGGGTGCATCCCATGGCCTGTCTTGGGCAGGTCTGTGCTTGACTTGGGCAGCCCCCCCAGCTCCTCTCCTCCATGCACCCCCAAACCTCAAGCCTGCCCTTGCCCTCTGCGTTCTATCTGCAAACCCCAATCATGCTGCCTGACACACTGCACCTCCTGCCAGTACTGGTCATGCCAACATGTTCCCTCCTTTAGTTCCCCACCACTAATATGTACCTTAGGCTTAGGCCCAGAAACAAAATCCAAACACAGGCTCAAGGTTTTGCTCTGCCCAGGGAGGGTGGCTGCCTCTGACAGGACCTGGCAGAAAACAGCTGGGGAGAACAGCTCTGAAGCCCAGACGTGCAGATGGTCCAGTCGCAACAAATCTGTGCTACACTCACAAGGAATCAGTGGGAGCTCCCTGGCAATAGGTGTACCCTGAGCCTGGCATGAAGGGCACAAGGAGCCCTGGTGCTATCTTGCAAACAGGTATTGTGCCTAGTTTGCAGGTGAGACTCCGGAAGGCTCAGAAACCAGGGCCAGGTCCCTCAGCTGGAATTCCAAGATGTGGAGACACCTGCTTTGAGGTGGGACCCCCAGACACCTGGGTCAGTCCCCATAAGGCGCCTCTCCAGCCGCCCTGCTACATGCCACACCCCTGAGGCATTCTCCAGTCTCATTCCAAGTAGCCTTGAGGCAAATCTCTGGGGCCCAGCCAGAGGCTATGTTCTGCCAGTTTCTAAGTTTTCTTTCCTCACATTCAGCTATGTGAACAAGGCTTTGGAGTCCTAAGCCACATGTGATGATCAAAATCAAGAACAAACTCTTGCAAGAGCAGCTCTAGACTTTGGGGACACGTCCCCTTGGAACTGCAGCTAGAAGCGGCAAACACTGGCCCCAAGGCCATTTCCAGGCTCTGTCCCCCATTCCCTCCTGTGCCCACTAAGGCTGGTCCAGGCTCGCTGGGTCTCCAGCCATCTCAGCCCCTCGGTCATCACATTGCTTCTCCTTGTCCAGCCGGGCTTGGACATCGGGGTATGGGAGCAAAATGCCTGCATGGAACCCTGTGGAGCCCACAGGTAAGGATGCCGTGCACTGGGGAGACCCGAGGTAGGAACAGCAGCGCCATCCTTTCGAGGCTCCACCTGAGGTGAGCAATCAGAGGACACCCCTCGAGTCACTGGGAGTTCGAGAACAAAGGACATTGCTGGGGGATCCCGAGTGAGCCAAAGAAGGAAACAGTTTGCCCAATGAAGTAGGAGGTGGATGGGAGGAGGGACGGGACAGACACAGCAGGACCTGCACACTTCTGCCAAGAGAGTGGACGCTGTCCTCAGAGCCCCCTGGTTCCACACTGCCTGGCTGCCCCTGCTTCAGGCACCCTGCACCTTTCTTCCCAAGCCCAATCCTACCTCTGACTCTGCCCAAGCAATCCGCCAGCCTGTGGTGACCTCCCCCAACCCCCTCAAGCTAGGAGTGGTCCAGAGCAGTGCTTAAGAGCCGGAGCCACAGAACCGGTGCACCCTGACTGTCCCAGGCAGGGTCTGCCTGCAGCTGGATGGAACAGGGTCTCAAGTAAGACCACCTGTGAAGCACCGCATCCTTCCCAACAGGACCTCCACTTACTTCGGACTCGAACCCCCTGCCTTTCCACGCTCAACTCTGCTCAGCTTGGTCCTCCTGGGGGCACGCCTAGGTCAGCCCTCAAATTCCACTGAAGCTCTGCTCCCCTCTTCCTGTCCTCCTCCCAGGCCAGCCCGCACCGCAGGCCCCGCCGTGCCCAGGTGGCCCTTCTTTACATCCCGTGGGGCCCAGCACAGGGACCAGGCATACCTGCTCCCGTCCCCAGTGACCAGGCCGCAGGTGGGCAGCACAGGAGAGCACGACCCGGCAGGGCACCCCCAGCCCTCCTGCTGACTCGACAAGGCCAGGAAGTGCCCGTCGTCCTGGTTCTGCCTCGGCCCTGCGTGACACCCACGCCACTGCACCCAGGCCTCTCCTACCCCTCCACGGGCCACTTAGCTGCAACCAGGAGGCCGTGGGCCAACGCGTTTTAAAAGCTGGCTCCCTAAAGCCAATCCGCACAGTCCCGAACTGCTCTCTGGGGCTTCTCCTCGTCAGAGCAAACACCTGCAGGGATGCCGCTCTGCTAGAGGGTGCAGAGCAGCCCCTGCCCCACCCTCTTCCCTTCGGCCACCTCCTGGCGTGGTCAGGCCGAGGGGAATCCACCCTCGTGGGCACCGTGACCTCACTCGGCGTCTTCTTCCTGACTTCCCCACGCACAGGGGCCCAGGAGGTGAGCGCGCGAGCGTCTCGAGCTCCACGGCCGCTTCTGCGTTCCAGCGGGGCAAGGTCCCGGCTCGCGTGACTGCTCCGGGACTCCTCGGGGCTCTGCGACATTTCCTCGCCTCCGGGAGCCGCACCGCCCGCCCGCCCCCGCGGCAGTTGGCCCGGTCGGCGGGAAGGGGCGAGGACGAGCGGCTGCGCCATAGCTGGTGCACAGGGCTCCCTCCTACCCGCGTACCCCGACGCCGGACCCGTCCCACCCGCAGGGGCCCGCAGAGCGC
The DNA here is from genome assembly GCF_000001405.40 of Homo sapiens. Classification (NCBI taxonomy): domain Eukaryota; kingdom Metazoa; phylum Chordata; class Mammalia; order Primates; family Hominidae; genus Homo; species Homo sapiens. The sequence continues at coordinate 43,719,573 of NC_000021.9, read as the reverse complement.
TCAGCCCTCCGCTTCCGCCCCCGCAAGCCAAGCAGAGCGGGAGGCTCATCCCGCGCCTGCCTCCAGGGCGCCCGCGCCAGGCTCTGCCCGCAGCTCCCGAGCCTCCCTCGGGGAACTGAGGCTCGTCTCGGGCAGCCCCGCCAAGGTCACGGGCTCGGGTTACGTAAGCCCGGGCTGCGGGCGGATGCGTACCTGCAGCGGGAACGTGGCCGCCCGGTTGCCCACGTAGCCGCGGATGACGTGGCTCTGTATGGAGAGCACCCGGCACTCCTCCTCCATGCCGGGCCTGGCCGCGGCGGCGCGGGGCCGAGGCGGGGGCACGGTCTCCGCCGCTCGCTCGGGCTCCGGCTCGGCTCGGGCTCGGGCTCCGGCCCCGGCTCCCCTCGGCTGCGACTCTGGCTCTGGCGCGCGGCGGACCCGATCAGCGCAGACGCCTCCTTCTGACCTCAGCGGGCGGCTCCGAACCCGCGAGTTCCGCGCGGCGCCGGGGGCTGGCCGGGGGCGGACCGGGGCGGGGACAGCCACGCAGGCCCCGCCCCCGGGCTGGGAGGAAGCGAAACCGGACCCTGGCCGCGCGGCCGCGCCAGGTGGCCCCCGCCACTCTGCCGCCCGAAACGCTGGGTTTGCACTTTCATTCCGCCTGGAGAGGGCTCTGCAGCGCCGTTCATTCGTTCGTTCATTCATTCATTCAACCATTGTGCTCCGCCTCAGCCCTGCGCCCCGCGCCCCGCGCCCCGCGCCCCGCCGCACGCAGGGGAGACTCGGGGGCCCGGGCTCCACGCCCCTGACCTCCGGGCGCGACACTCTCGCAACGCGGATGGCCACGAGAGTGCGCGCGGGCGTGGGAATAGTGCGGAGGCGCGAAAGTGACCCCGGACCCCGGATACCCAAGGGAACCGCGCTCTCAACTGCCTGCAGGGCCCGGAGCCCGCATCCGATCCGCGTCCCTTCCCAGGGGCCGCGCGGGAGCTGACAGACACGGGGCCGGGGGGACCCAGTCAACTCCGCACCGGCCTGGGGCGGCGGGCTTCTCTGGGGGCGCCCCAGACCCTTGCGGACCCTGAGTGCCCACTCTGGTGGCGCGGCCTGCAGAGGCCCCCAGCCGATGGCCACATGCCCGGCCGTCCATCCACAGGTGCCTGGGTCTGGGCCGCGTGTCCGATCCCACCCCAACCAGGTCTTCCTGTGGAGGGCCTGCCTTCGAGGACGAACCTGACCCCCTGGGGGACCCCACAGCCTTCACTTCCCACCCCTACGCTCTCCACAGCTGACGCACTCCCTGCGGCTTCCCTGCACCACCCCGGGGAACGGAGGCCTTTGGGTTCCAGACTTGCAGACATGGTGATTTGGGGCCCTGGGGTCAGTATCACCAGACTAAAGTCTTGGTGACCTAACACAGCGCACCTAGGGCTCTGTAGCTTGGTGAGACCCAATGCCCGACCAGGCGGGTGCTGAGGACTGAGGGAGGAAGACATTACTTAGAGATCTAGGCTTTTAAAAGAAAGTACTTCATAATTAGTCATAATTGTCCATTAATAATAGCTAACATTGGCCGGGCGCGGTGGCTCACGCCTATAATCCCAGCACTTTGGGAGGCTGAGTTGAGCGGATCAAGAGGTCAGGAGTTCAAGACCAGTCTGGCCAACATAATGAAACCCCATCTCTACTAAAAATACAAAAATTTAGCTGGGTGTGGTGGTGTGCACCTGTAATCCCAGCTACTTGGGAGGCTGAGGCAGGAGAATTGCATGAACCCAGGAGGTGGAGGTTGCAGTGAGCCAAGATCGCGCCATTGCCCTCCAGCCCGGGTGACAGTGAGAGACTCTGTCTCAAAAAAATAATAAAATAAAATAAAGAGAATTAATTGTAACACACCCCTAGATGGTACCACGAGGCTGGAGTCCAAAAGCGCTTGTCCTGGCCCTCGCACCCACTCGCCTGCGTGCTTCCCCTCCCACAAGGAGTTAGAGCGTGGTGCCAGGTAAGCAAGCCACACCCCTATCACAAGTCCAGCAAAAGGCTCCAGGGAACTCTCCCGTCTCATCACCTTAAAGGCTGTAACCCTTTGTAAGAAATAAATTCTCCTGTCCTTTCCCAAACTTATAGATTGTGAAGTTAACAAACTAAGGAGAAGTCAGAGGTTACAGAGTTGGTGACAAGCAGTGCTGGGTGAGAGCCCCAGGAACCTACAAAGGCAGCACCAACAACTGCCCTTACTACCCTTTGCTCATCCTACTCTGTGAGTCTCTCGCCCTTGGCTCTTAGGAGCGCCTGATGAATCTCTCTCTCTGCAGTGGATTTCGTCCTTCCACACTTTGATCCATCATCCATGGTCCCTTCCCCATCCCCAGCCCCCACCCCCCCCATCCTATCACACCTTTGGTCCCAAGCACTAAGAGGAAAGAGCAGGGGAGGCATGGAAGAGAGCTGACCAGCCTCCAGGCCCGTGGGCTCCAGGACCCTCCTTCTCGACAGAGGGCTCTGATCGAAACTCTGAAAATGTCATTGTGGTGAGTACATTTTTGCCTGTGGTTTCTTGGGCTTTTCAAAGATCTGGTTGCCCGTTCCCAGCTGTTGTGCAGATGGCCAGTGCCTGTGGTTCTCACACTGGTCATTTTAGAGTCACCCAGGGAACTGGATACACACACCTAGGCCCAGCCCTGTCCTACCTCACTGAGCCTGGCGCTGAGCTCCTTTTTAGCTCTGCAGGTGCTTCTGAGACCACCCAAGGGTGAAAGGCACTGTGTGGGCAGATGAGCTAATTTGGTGTTTTTATGAGCACATGTCACTTGCCACTAATTATCAGTCCAAGAGCAAAGCTTTTTCCTTGATGACTCAGATAGTAAAGACCTTCTAGACACTACGAGTCTACTGAAAAGATGCCCAGTCCAGGAGACGAATGGGATGCCTCGCTTCGATTGGGTGGGCTGCCACCCCAGCCTGTACCCCTAGGTCAGCCTTTCCAGGGAGAGAGCCCTGGAGGGGTGGCCCCCAGCTGGGTGGTGGCCAGGGAGGCTCCCCTAGGGAACAAGTGGTTGGAGAGACCCAGAGCTGGGTTCCACCTGGGGAGGCAAGTGGACGGGGTCCTGGAGATGGTGTCCAGAAAGTCATTCACTGAGAAAGAAAAGAGAGGACCTGAGAGAACTGACACCAAGCGGGTCTTCCACCAGAGCATTCGAGGCATGACCAGCTGAGTTATGGTGGCAACACAGTGTGCCCTCAAAGGACGGTGAACCTTGGAAAATGTCAACAAAAAGAGTCAAAATCTGTAAAATATTGAAAGAAATTTATTCTAAGCCAATTATCAGTGACCATGGCCCATGACACTGAAATGGGAGAGTTCCCTGACCCCTCTTGCAGGATGTGCAACAAGGGTGTGACTTGTCTGTTGAGCCGCCATGCATGTTCAAACCCCTTACAGGAGGGGGAGCACAGAGACGGGCAGGTGCAGGAGCGGGGATGAGTGCCCCTGGGCTCCAGCCCCACAGCAGCATCCAGGGGTGGGTGTCTGCGACTCCCGAAGCCCAAGCGGGCATGTGTTACAGTGCACTCTTTAGCCTTGCCATCTGCAGATGGCTTAAATCTTAACCAGCCAGTGCCCTCTTGGTACCCAGGTCCTCATCCAGCATCCAGGAAGAACCAAGTCGCACACAGACTTGAAGGATGAATGCGGGGGTTTTATGGAGTGGTGGAGGTGGCTCTCAGTGGGATGGATGGGGAGCTGAGAGGGGATGGAGTGGGAAGATGATCTTCCCTTGGAGTTTGGCCGTCCAGCAGCTGATCTCCCCTCTGACCGTCCCCCAGCTGAACTCCTCTTGGTGTTCAGACACTCCTTCTCTCTGCCCCACCATTCTGCCATCCTTCTGCTCTTCTGTTTGTCTCCTCATGGAGACAGGGATTTGGGGTTTATATGGGTACAGGACGGGGGACATGGCAGACCAAAAGGCAACTTTTGGGTGCAAAAACAGGAATGCCTGTTCCCATTTAGGGCCGTGGGTTTCCAGGCTTGAGGGCGGGGGCTTTCCCAGGGAACTGCCCTCTTCTACCCAGTATTTCCCTGTCTCCTGTCCGTATCAACACAGGCCTCAGGAGGTCCTGAGAACATGTGCCCAAGGTGGTCAGGGTGCAGGTTGGTTTTAGACATTTTAGGGAAACGTGAAACTTCAATCAAATACATTTAAGAAATACATTGGTTTTGGGCTGGGCATGGTGGCTTACACTTGTAATCCCAGCACTTTGGGAGGCCAAGGTGGGCGAATCACCTGAGGTTGGGAGTTCAAGACCAGCCTGGCCAACGTGGCAAAACCCTGTCTCTACTAAAAATACAAAAATTAGCTGGGCATGGTGGTGTGTGCTTGTAATCCCGACAACTCAGGAGGCTAAGGCAGGAGAATCACTTGAACCCAGGAGGCAGACGTTGCAGTGAGTCGAGATCACACCACTGGACTCCAGCCTGGGCGACAGAGCAAGACTCCATCTCAAAAAAAAAAAATTGGTTTTGCCAGGAATGGTGGCTCATGCCTGTAATCCCAGCACTTTGGGAGGCCAAGGCAGGAGGATCACAAGGTCAGGAGTTCAAAACCAGCCTGGCCAATATGGTGAAACCCTGTCTCTACTAAAAATATAAAAATTAGCCAGGCATGATGGCGGGCACCTGTAGTCCCAGCTACTCAGGAGGCTGAGGTAGGAGAATCACTTGAACCTAGGAGGAGGAGATTGCAGTGAGCCAAGATCGCGCAACTGCACTCCAGCCTGGGTGACAGAGCGAGACTCTGTCTCAAAAAAAAAATACATTGGTTTTGTCCAGAAATGTGAGACAACTTGAAGGGGGTTGGGGGGATTTCCAGCTTATAAGTAGATTTAAAAATTTTCTGGTTGACAGAGTAGACACGGTGGCTCATGCCCGTAATCCCAGCACTTTGGGAGGCCGAGATGGGCGGATCACAAGGTCAGGAGATCGAGACCATCCTGGCTAACATGTGAAACCCCATCTCTACTAAAAATACAAAAAAATTAGCCTGGCGCCTGTAGTCCCAGCTACTCGGAGGCTGAGGCAGGAGAATGGCGTGAACCAGGAGGCGGAGCTTGCAGTGAGCCGAGATCACGCCACTGCATTCCAGCCTGGGCGACAGAGTGAGACTCCCTCTCAAAAAAAAAAAAAAAAAAAAAAATTTCTGGTTGACAATTGGTTGAGTTTATTTAAAGACCTGGGACTGGCCGGGCGCGGTGGCTCACACCTGTAATCCCAGCACTTTGGGAGGCTGAGGTGGGCGAATCAAGAGGTCGGGAGATCGAGACCATCCTGGCTAACACGGTGAAACCCCATCTCTACTAAAAATACAAAAAATTAGCTGGGCGTGGTGGCGGGAGCCTGTAGTCTCAGCTACTTGGGAGGCTGAGGCAGGAGAATGGCGAACCCGGGAGGCGGAGCTTGCAGTGAGCCGAGATCACGCCACTGCACTCCAGCCTGGGTGACAGAGCGAGACTCCGCCTCAAAAAAAAAAAAGAAAAAAAGACCTGGGATCAATAGAAAGGAACGTCTGTTAAGATCAACGATTGTAGAGACTGAAGCTCTTACTTTCAAAGGAAGCCTTCAGGTAGCAGGCTTTAGAGAGAATGGGTTGTCAAATGTTTCTTATCAGACTTGAAGTCTGCATTGATGTTAATGCTGGAGAGGTAGAATAAGGCACATCCCATCCCCACTTCCCATCATGGCCTGAACCAGTCTCTCAGGTTAAATTTTCAGAGTTCCCTGGCTGAGGAGGAAGTCCATTCAGATGGTTGGGGGGCCTCAGAATTTTATTTTTGTTTTACATGACCATGGTTATGGTGACCACACGTCATGTTATCAATACTTTTTTTAAAAGCTTGCTTTTGCCTGGCACGGTGGCTCATGCCTATAATCCCAGCACTTTGGGAGGCTGAGATGTGCAGAGCACGAGGTCAGGAGTTTGAGACCAGCCTGGCCAACATGGTGAAACCCCATCTCTACTAAAGATACAAAAAATTAGCTGTGTGTGGTGGCACGTGCCTGTAATCCCAGCTACCTGGGAGGCCGAGGCAGGAGAATTGGTTGAACCGGGGAGGCAGAGGTTGCAGTGAGCTGAGATGGTGCCATTGCACTCCAGCCTGGGGCAACAGGGCGAGACTCCATCTCAAAAAAAAAAAAAAAAAAAGCTTGCTTTCAGCCAGTGGTAGTAGTTCATGGCTGCAATCCTAGAACTTTGGGTGGCTGAGGCAGGAGGACCGCTTGAGCCCAGGAATTTAAGACCAGCCTGGGCAATATAGTGAGACCCCATCTCTGCTAAAAAAAAAAAAAAAAAATTAGCCAGGCGTGGTGGCACGTGCCTGTGGATCCAGCTACTTGGGAGGCTGATGCAGGAGAATCACTTGAGCCCAGAAGATTGAGGCTGCAGTGAGCCATCATTGTGCCATTGTACTCCAGCCTGGGTAACAGAGCAAGAACCTGTCTCAAAAAATAAAATAAAATACAAAACAAAATAGAAGGCTTTCCATTTGGACACAGGAATGGATATGTTACCAACCATGAGTTCTTGGGCTCTCAATGCAATGGAAATTGACATGGGGCCAAAAGAGTTTTCCCAGACAAGGCTTCATTGGAGCTTATGTCCAGGCATAAGGGAGGCGGCCCAAGGGAGAGAGAGTCCCTGACTGAGTCCTGGAAAGGAGTTGGTTAGGACTTTTTGTCAGGCAAAGGGTGGAAACTGATATCAGGGTAGGGTGTGCAGGCTGGGCTGGGGAAGGCCTCCGAGGACTGGGACAGGCTGATCAGCACTTCTGGTTGCGACGGTTATTTTGAGTCATGGGCCAGCTAGCTGGCTGGCTGGGGCAGCGAGGCTGTAAATCTGTTGCTCAGCATTCCTTTCCAAGGTGGGGACATTCTACAACCTTGGTTGATATTCTGGATCTTTTAAGGCCAGTTCCTGAAATTCTTTAAGTAAAAGGCCTGGTTAAATATTACAAGAGCACAGAAGAGCACTATAAACGGCTGTTTTCCTTGTATGACCAAAGTCTCAGGGTTAGCGAGTTTGGTGTCAAGCCAGGTAGTGGCGTGGGGTGTGTGATCCGTGGAAGGCATGAGAGAATGCTCTAGTGGGGGGTTAACCGAGCCAGCCCGTCCCTACTCTGTCTCAGGTATGACTGTGTAAATAAATGTCCGTCCACACCCTGGCGGCAAATGAAATGCCCTTGCCAGCAGACCATGCCCAGAGGTTGTTTGAGCAACTGCCTCCCAGCACCACAGGGTTCCTTAATTACCATAAAGGATGTTAAAAGTCATTCAGGATTTGTGTTTGGCCAGAAGTTTGAGCGGTGTCTCTTTTTTTTTTCTTTCTTTCTTTTTTTTTTTTTTTTTGAGACGGAGTTTCGCTCTTGTTGGGCAGAGGCTGGAGTGCAATGGCGTGATCTCGGCTCACCGCAACCCTCGCCTCCCGGGTTCAAGTGATTCTCCTGCCTCAACCTTCTGAGTAGCCGGGATTATAGGCATGTGCCACCACGCCCAGCTAATTTTTTTTTTGTATTTTTGGTAGAGATGGGGTCTCCGTGTTGGTCAGACTGATCTTGAACTCCCGACCTCAGGTGACCCACCTGCCTCGGCCTCTCAAAGTGCTGGGATTATAGGTGTGAGCCACTGTGCCCGACCCTGAGCGGTGTCTTAGTTAGCGGGGGATGCTTTAACAAAATGCACAAAGTAACAAAAGAGCCAAGCCATGAAAGAGAAAGCAACAGGAGAAGCAAGGAAAGCACAGATTTACTGAAGACATTTCAGAGTGGGAGCAGGCTCAAGCAAGCGGCTCAGGTGCCTCTTCTTTTGGGTTTTTGTTTTGTTTTGTTTTTTGAGACCGAGTCTCTGTCGCCCAGGCTGGAGTGCCAGTGGTACGATCTCGGCTCACTGCAAGCTCCGCCTCCCGGGTTCACGCCATTCTCCTGCCTCAGCCTCCCGAGTAGCTGAGACTATAGGCACCCACTGCCACGCCTGGCTAATTTTTTTGTATTTTCAGTAGAGATGGGGTTTCACCGTGTTAGCCAGGATGATCTCGATCTCCTGACCTCGTGATCCGCCCGCCTCGGCCTCCCAAAGTGCTGGGATTACAGGCGTGAGCATGAATTTCTTCTTTACATGTAGCTTCCAGTACCCAGATCACATGATTTTTGATGGAAGTCCAGTGTGATCCGTATTCTTGTTCCTCTATAGGAAGGTACTTTCCCTCCGACATCTTTCAAGATATTCTGTCTCTGGTTTCCTGCAGTTTGAATACGACATGCCAAAGTTCCTATTTTTTGGCATTTGTTGTACTTAGTGTTCTCTAAGCTTCCTAGATCTGTGGTTTGGTGTCTGACACCAATTTTGAAAAATGAGAAGCCATTATTACTTCAAATATTTCTTCTATCCCTTTCTCCCTCTCCTCTTCTGGTATTGCCATTATGAGTGTGTAAATTACCTTCTATAATTGTCCCGTAGTTCTAGGATATTCTGTTCAGTTATTTTTACTCTTTTTTCTCCTTGCATTTCAGTTGGGGAAGTCTATGGACATGTCCTCAGCTTGCAGATTCTCTCCTGGGCTGTGTCCAGTCCACTGACGTCCGAGGCACAATCCCCCGTGTGACCCTGCCTGGCGGCGGCCTCTTGTTAGAGCTGTAAGTCACACAGGCTTCTGCCTGTCCTCTAGCTGAGTGTCACTGTATTGCGTCCCACCACCAAAAGAATCTTTAGATCTTATAAAACATCAATACACAGGCTTCTGCCTCTCCTCTAGCTGAGTGTCACTGTATTGCGTCCCACCACCAAAGGAATCTTTAAATCGTACAAAACATCAATAAAGGATTTGAGTCCTAAATATACAAGGATTTCTTTCTTTCTTTCCTCTCTTTCTTTCTCTCTCTCTTTCTTTCCTTCTCTCTTTTCTTTCTTTCCCTTCCTTCCTTTGTTTTCTCTCCTCTGTTTCTCCCTTTCTCTCTTTCTCTTTCGTCTTGCTGTTGCCCAGGCTGGAGTGCAGTGGCGTGATCTTGGCCCACTGACACCTCCACTTCCCAGGTTCAAGTGATTCTCCTGCCTCGGCCTCCCGAGTAGCTGGGATTACAGGCGCCTGCCACCACACCCGGCTAATTTTTGTATTTTTAGTAGAGATGGGGTTTTATCATGTTGGCCAGGCTGGTCTCGAACTCCTGACCTCAAGTAATCCGCCCGCCTCAGCCTCCCAAAGTGCTGGGATTACAGGCATGAGCCACTGCGCCCAGCCTTTTTTCCTTTTTTTTTTTTTAAATAGGGTCTTGCTCTACCACCCAGGCTGGAGTGCAGTACAGTAGCACACATCAGCTCACTGCAACCTCTGTCCCCTGGGCTAAAGTGATCCTCCCGCCTTAGCCTCCTGAGTAGCGGGTACTACAGGCGTGTGTCACCATGCCGGGCTAATTTTTGTACTCTTTTTTTATTTTGTAGAGAAGAGGTCTCACCATGTCGCCCAAGCTGGTCTCAAACTCCTGAGCTCAAGTGATCTGCCTGCCTCGGCCTCCCAAAGTGCTCAGATTACGGGTGTGAGCCACCACAACTGGCGAAAGAATTCTTAAAACTCAACAATAAGGGAACAACCTAACCAAAAAATAGGCAAAAGATCTAGACACCTCACCAAAGAAGATATACAAATGGCAAATACACATATGGAAAGTTCTGAACGCCATGCCATGAGAAAAGTACAAATTCAAACAATGAAACATCGCTAAGCACTGCTTACAATGGCTGAAGTCCAGAACACTGACAACACTGGGTGCTGGCGGGACATGGCACTCTCCTTCATTGCTGGTGGGAACACTGTAATGGTGTAGCCACTTTGGAAGGCACTTTGGTGGTTTCTTAGAAAGTAAACATCTTGGCCGGGCGTGGTGGCTCACGCCTGTAATCCCAGCACTTTGAGAGGCCGAGGTGGGGGCGGATCACCTGAGGTCAGGAGTTTGAGACCAGCCTGGCCAACATGGTAAAACCCCATCTCTACTAAAAATACAAAAATTAGCCTGGCATGGTGGCAGGCACCTGTAATCCCAGCTACTCGGGAGGCTGAGGCTGGAGAATCGCTTGGACCCAGGAGGCAGAGGTTGCAATGAGCAGAGATCATGCCACTGCACGAGTGAAATTCCGTCTCATTAAAAAAAAAAGAAAGAAAGAAAAAAGAAACTAAACATCTTACCTTATAATTCAGCAGTTGCACTCCTTGATCTTTACCCAAAGGGTTAAAAACTTATGTCTACACAAAACCCTGCACACCAATGTTTATAGCAGCTTTAGTAATTGTCAAAAACTGGAAGCCACCAAGGTGTCTCTCAGTAGGTGAATGAATAGACAAACTGTAGTGTACATTTGCAATGGAATATTATACAGCAATGAAAAAGAGTGAGCCATCAAGCCATGAAGCGATAGTGAGGAAACGTTAGGTGCACATTACCAAGTGAAAGACACTGATCTGAAGAGTCTGCCTACTGTGTGACTCCAACCAAGTGACATCCTGGAAAAGGTAAAACTATGGAGATAATTAAAAGGTCAGGAGGCTGGGCGTGGTGGCTCATGCCTGTCATCCCAGCAGGCGCGGTGGCTCATGCCATTATCCCAGCAGGCACGGTGGCTCATGCCGCCATCCCAGCAGGCGCGGTGGCTCATGCCGTCATCCCAGCAGGCGCGGTGGCTCATGCCTGTCATCCCAGCACTTTGGGAGGCCGAGGCAGGTGGATGTTTGAGCCCAGGAGTTCAAGACCAGGTTGGACAATATAGTGGGGCCCCATCTCAAACAAAACAAAACAAAACAAAAAAAACCCAAAAATTAACCATGTGTGGTGGCACACCCCTGTAGCGTAGACCTAGCTATTTGAGAAAGGCTAAGGCAGGAGGATTGCTTGAGTCCAGGAGGCAGAGGTTTCAGTGAGCCAAGATCATGCCTCTGCACTCCAGTCTAGGAGTCAGAGCAGACCCTCTCTCCAAAAAAAGAAAATGGTCAGGTGTTGTCAGAAGGTTAGGACAAGGGGGAAAGGAAAGGATAGGAGAAGCACAGTGGGCTTTAGGGCCAGAAAACGACTTTGTGTGACACTGTGATGGTCAAGGGGGAAAGAAATGGATATGAGAAGCACAGCGGGCTTTAGGGCCGGAAAAGGACACTGTGATGGTCTGCACATGAGATTAGCATTTGACAGACCCAGAGAAGGGCCCATCATGAGTGACCCCTGATGTGAACCAAGTGAACTCTCCTGTAAATAATCACATAACAGCAGGACGGCACCACACAGCTGGAATCGGCTATAGGGTGTGCACCAACTCACCTGCTGAAAAAAGAAAAATAAACAGCAAAATAAAGTAGAGATATTCATATGCTAATACGTTTAATTTTATTTTACTTTTTTGAGACAGGGTCTGCTCTGTCACCTGGGCTGGAGTGCAGTGGTGCCATCAGGGCTCACTGCAGCCTCAACTTCCTGGGCTCAAGTGATCCTCCTGCTTTGGCCTCCCAAGATGCTAGTATTACAGGCATGCTCCACCATGCCCAGCTAATTCTGTAATTTTCTTTGTAGAGACAGTGTATTAGACTGTTCTCATATTGCTATAAAGAAATACCTGAGACTGGGTTATTTATAAAGAAAAGAGCTTTAATTGGCTCACGGTTCTGCAGGCTGCACAGGAAGCTTGGCTCTGGCATCAGCTTCTGGGGAGGCCTTGGGAGCTCGCACTCATGGTGGGAGGCGAGCAGGGAGCAGGCGCCGCAACAGGGCAAAAGCAGGAGCAAGAGAGTGAGGGGTGGGGGTGCCACACACTTCTACACACCCAGTTCTCCTGTGAACTCAGAGCAGGGAGCTCAGTTGTCGCCAAGGGGATGGCCCCAGCCATTCTTGAGGGAGTCGCCCCCATGACCTCCACCTCCCATCAGGTCCCACCTCCAGCACCAGGGATCACATTCCAACATGAGATTTGGGCAGGGACCAATATCCAAGCTATATCAGACAGGGCTCACTCTGCTGCCCAGCCTGTCTTGAACTCCTGGCATCTCGGCCTCCCAAAGTGCAGACAGTACAGGTGTGACCCACCGCGCCCAGCCTGTGACTGCATTTTACTCCAGTATATGACTATTCTGTGGCTGTCTTCAGCCAGCTGTGTTCTCAGTTAATGGACATTTAGGTAGAGTCACCACTTTTTCACTATGGTGGAATCTCTTCTAACTTGCACGAATTCAACTGAAGGTGTGCAAACCCCCCCACCCAAGAAAAAGGGAGCACAACAACCCGTTTAAGACTGTAAAGTCGGCCAGGCACGGTGGCTCACGCCTGTAATTCCAGCACTTTGGGAGGCCGAGGCGGGCGGATCACGAGGTCAGGAGTTCGAGACCATCCTGGCTAACACGGTGAAACCCCGTCTCTACTAAAAAAAAAAAATACAAAAAATTAGCATGGTGTGCTAATTTAACAAAAAGTTAGGCGTGGTTGTGGGCGCCTGTAGTCCCAGCTACTTGGGAGGCTGAGGCAGGAGAATGTGTGAACCCGGGAGGTGGAGCTTGCAGTGAGCCTAGATTGCGCCACTGCACTCCAGCCTGGGTGAGAGAGTGAGACTCCGTCTAAAAAAAAAAAAAAAAGACTATAAAGCCGGTCAGGCACGGGGCTTATGTCTGTAATCCCAGCACTTTGCGAGGCCAAGGCGGGAGGATTGCTTGAGCCCAGGAGTTCGAGACCAGCCTGGGCAACATAGGGAGACCCCGTTCTCTGCAAAAAAGTTAAAACAAACAAAACCAAACTGTAAAGCCAGTGAGTCTGGCTGCTCCTGGCCTCTGTGGGTATATGGGGCTCGTGAGGCATGTCGGGAGCAAGGCTGTGGTTTGCCATACGACTCATTTTCTATGTTTGCTTTTATATGATAGAAATCATACTGTTTTTCAATTAAGCTTTATTTTTTATCTAATGATGCAAACAGTTCTTTTTTTTTTTTTTTTTTTTGAGTCAGAGTCTTGCTCTGTTGCCCAAGCTGGAGTGCAGTAGCGCCATCTCGGTTCACTGCAACCTCTGCCTCCTGGGTTCAAGAGATTCTTCTGACTCAGCATCCTGAGCAGCTTGGGATTACAGGCGTACGTCACCACACTGGGCTAATTTTTGTATTTTTAGTAGAGATGGGGTTTCGCCACGTTGGCCAGGCTGGTCTCGAACTCCTGACCTTAGGTGATCCACCTGCTTCAGCCTTCCAAAGTGCTGGGATTACAGGCATGAGCCACTGCACCTGGCCTCAAATTCGTTTTTATGTTTGTTTTTTCTTTCTTTCTTTTTTTTTTTTTTGATACAGGGTCTCACTCTGTTGCCCAGGCTGGAGTGCAGTGCCACGATCTCGGCTCACTGCAACCTCCGCCTCCCAGGTTCAGGCGATTCTCCTGCCTCAGCCTCCCGAGTAGCCGGAATTACAAGCATGTGCCACCATGCCTGGCTAATTTTTGTATTTTTAGTAGAGACAAGGTTTCACCATGTCTGCCAGGCTGGTCTCGAACTCCTGACCTCAGATGATCCACCCGTCTTGGCCTCCCAAAGTGCTGGGATTACAGGCGTGAGCCACCACGCCTGGCCCTATGTTAGTGTTTTCCTTATAGAAATCTTATTTTTTTCAATTAAACTTTATTTTCTATCTAATGATGCAAACAATTTTTTAAAGCAAAATAATAAGATCTTTAATGGAAAACAGCATTCCCTTCAGCAGGCTCTCCATCTGCATGTCTCATTCTTGATACAGGGACCACCTTTAACTCGTAGAGCTATTTATTCTGACTATTTATGTATTTGTTTTCTTTTTCTTTCTTTCTTTTTTTTTTTTTTTTTTGAGACAGAATCTTGCTGTGTTGCCCAGGCTGGAGGGCAGTTGAGTGATCTTGGCTCACTGCAACCTCCGCCTCCTGGGCTCAAGCAATTCTCCTGCCTCAGCCTCCCAAGTAGCTGGGATTACAGGCATCGGCCACCCTTCTGGGCTAATTTTTGTAGTTTTAGTAGATATGGGGTTTTGCCACGTTGGCCAGGCTGGTCTCAAACTCCTGACCTTAGGTGATCCGCCCGCCTCGGCCTCCCAAAGTTCTGGGATTACAGGCATGAGCCACCACACCCAGTCTATTTTTTTCTTTTCCAACTTTTATTTTTAATTCAGGGATGCAGGTGCAGGTCTGTTTCCTGGGTATACTGCGTGATGCTGAGGTTTGGGGTGCGAATGATCCTGCACCCAGGTACTGAGCATAGTCTCCGGCAGTTGGTTTCTCAGCCCTTCCCCGCTCCCTCCCTCTCCTCTCTGGTGGTCCCAGTGTTTACTGTTGCGGTCTTTTATGTCCATGGGCACTGATGTTTAGCTCCCACTTGTAACTGAGAGCATGTGGTCTTTATGTCCATGGGCGCCGATGTTTAGCTCCCACTTGTAACTGAGAGCATGGGGTATTTGGTTTTTAGCTCCTGTATCGATTCACTCAGGACAGTGGCCTCCAGCTGCATCCATGTTGCTACAAAGGACATGATCTCGTTCTTTTTCGTGGCCGCGTCTGTGTTTGTGACCGCAGGAGTGCTGTCAAGCTGAGAGGCTCTCTCATGTTTAAAGTTTTTTTTTTTTGAGACGGAGTCTTGCTCTGTCGCCCAGGCTGGAGTACACTGGCGCGATCTCGGCTCACTGCAACCTCCACTCCCCAGGTTCAAGGGATTCTCCTCCCTCAGCCTCCCGAGTAGCTGGGAATACAGGCGTATGCCACCACACCCAGCTGATTTTTGTATTTTTTAGTAGAGATGAGGTTTTGCCATGTTGGCCAGGCTGGTCTCGAACTCCCAACCTCAGGTGATCCACCTGCCTCAGCCTCCCAAAGTGCTGGGATTATAGGCTTGAGCCACTGTGCCCAACCTAAAGATGTATTTTTTTAATAACATAGCCTCTACAAAATACAAGTCAGATATTTTTTCTTGGCACTGGACCCAATAGAGAGCGCCTCCCAAAGGAGCTCCTGAGGGCAATCTTGGGTCTACCCAACTGCTAGAGACTGAGTGTGTCCCCCCAAATGCATAGGTTGAACCTAACTCCCAAGGTGAGGGTATCAGGATGTGGGGTCTTGGGAGGTGATGAAGTCGTTGCGGGGAGCCCTCAGGAATGGGATTTGTGCCCTTGTGAAAGAGGCCCCAAAGAGCTGCCTGGCCTCTCCCAGACACCAGATCTGCCGGTGCTCCATCTTGGACCTCCAGCCTCCAGAACTTTGAGAAATCAATTTCTGTTGTTTATAAGCAGTTTATGGTCCAGTCAAGTGCCACAAGTCCCATAGATAGTCCCATACATGATGACACCGTATTTTTTTTTTTTTTTTTTTGAGATGGAGTCTCGCTCTGTCACCCAGGCTGGAGTGCAGTGGTGTGATCTCGGCTCACTGCAACCTCCGCCTCCCCAGTTCAAGCGATTCTCCTGCCTCAGCCTCAGAAGCTGGGATTACAGGCATGTGCCTCCATGCCCAGCTAATTTTTGTATTTTTAGTTTAGACGGGGTTTCACCATGTTGGCCAGGCTGGTCTCGAACTCCTGACCTCAGGTGATCCAACCGCCTCGGCCTCCCACAGTGCTGGGATGACAGTGTGAGCCACCGCACCCGGCTGGCACGTTATTTTTTATGCCTTTTCTGTATTTAGATACACAAGAGCTCACCACTGTCAAGGGGGCCCACAGTATCTGGTGCAGTGACATGCTCTGCAGGTTTGTAGCCTGGGAACAGCAGGTTACAGCACAGGGCTGAGGTGTGTCACGGGCTGTGCTAGCCGGGTTTGTGTGAGTGAATGCTGTGAGGTCTGCACGACAGTGATATCGCCCGAGCATGCATTTCTCAAAACAGATCTCACTAGGCGACCCATGACTGTACTTGCTATAGCAGCCAGCACAAACCAAGCCACTTCTGGGAAACTCCATCGCCAAATACCATCCCTCTGGGGATTAGGTTTCAACACATGCATTTGGAGGCCTCAGACATTCCACCTCTAACAGCCTCCATGTGGCAGGTCTGGGCCAGAGCTGGGCAGGAAAGGGGAAGGGCCTTCTGGCTGAAGGGTCCCCACAAAGAGGCCAATGAGTGGGTCAAGAGCGTGGCAGTGTGAGGAACTGAAGACAAGCCCCGGCGAGGTGGGGCTGTGACCGGGGCTGAGCGGGCAACAAGTGGGGACTTTGTCCAGCAGGTTCAGAAAAAGCTGTCACGCAGAACACATCTGGCGGCCACCCCTGCCCATGCCCATCTTATAGCGTTTTCATCAGCAGATTTCAGCACATAATCATTTAAGATAAAGTTGCCCGCTCAACTGTGTTAAAAATAAGTAGCACTGCCTGCAGTTGCTTGTGGGGAACAAAAGCAACGTCTCCTTTCACCCGCAGAAAGCCCGTGATAGGGGGCGGGGCTGAGTGTCAGTCTGCACCTCTGCTGAGTTCTCAAGGTCGGCGTGAATGATTTGCCAGGACGTGGCGCTGCGGTGGCGATCGGGGCCACTCGGGAAAGGTACGAATCAAATAGGAATCAAATCCGGTAGCTGTCAGTTCAGTACATTTTCAACTTTTATTCTTAAAAACCTGGGTGGAGAAATAATTGTAGGATTTAAAGATTGACGGACTGAAGCCTTAATCACCAGGCAGTGACTAACGCCAGAAAGAGCTGCGGCAATTTTTAGACTGGGTTCAGAAAGGCACCGAGTCCTAGGAACAAAAGGCGGGCGCAGGGCCCTCCGGGAAGACACAGGGGCTGAATCGCAACAGGACGCAGGCGGCTCACCGTTCTCTCCACACGGACTCTACTTCCTAAAAGGGAATCGCACCAGCATAACCTGCAGAGAAGGGGCTTCAGCTGCCGTCTGCGGACCCCCTACACCCCCACTCAACGCCACCTCCAGCCCCCAGGTAGGGCTGGCCTCCCTGCCTCAGCCCCTGCCAGAAGCCCGGGGCTGCCCTTTCCTGCAGCTGGGCCTGTCCTCCTGAGACAGCTGCCTGCTGGGCGTCGTCGTCCGTGCCAGCCACGGAGGCAGTGTCTCTTCTGGCACGTGCTCCCAAAGGAGCAGTGAAGAGAAAGTCAGAGGCTGCAGGGTGCCAAACCCCAGGGGGCTGGCCCTGGAAGCCTGGGACGCCTGCAAGGGCCAGGTTAGTGGAGGTGAGGACAGAGGCCCGCCTGCTGACGGGCTTCCCAGCTCTTCTCAGAAGGAAAACGTGCCCATGGAGATGAGGTGGATCAGGAAACGAGGAGAGAGGCCGACACGCTCTGGAAACCTCCCTGTCTTCTTTTCCCCATTCTCCCTGGGCCCTCCCCACATCAACCAGAAGCCGGTCCTCCGATCCTGCCCGCTGAGCCCAGGTGTGGGCCCCAGGCCTGGCTGCCCTCCCGCCTCTGGTCCATCCGGGCCTCTGACCCTTCCTTCCCCTGCTGCCTGGTGGGTGCTCTCCAGTGGCTCCTGAAGTGTGCACAGGACAAAGCCCAAACCCTGCCCACGGCCCCCACGGCCCCCATGGCCGTCCCTGGCCAGCCCCCCTACATCCTGGCTGCACTGGCTGTTCCCTCCTTTGTGCCTCTACTCAGGTGCGGTTCCCTCTACTGAGATCCCCACCCCGACTTGTTCTCTGGACAAACTTCCTCTCGGCTTTAGCTGTAGAATCGCCATGGCCAATATCATAGCTGCAACCACATGTGACTCCAGAGTGCCAGGCGACGCGTGCCATCAGCATACACGCCTGGTTTTGGAAACTTACTACAGAAAAAAAAGCCTGCAAAATATCTTAATACTTTTTAATATTAATTACGTGTTGAAATTATATTTTGGAAATACATTATTTAAAAAGATTGACAGTTTCTTTTTCTCTTTTAAAAAATGTGTCTACAGCCGGGTGCAGTGGCTCACGCTTATAATCCCAGCACTTTGGGAGGCCGAGGTGGGCGGATCATGAGGTCAGGAGATTGAGACCATCTTGGCCAACATGGTGAAACCCCGTCCCTACTAAAATACAAAAAAAAAATAAGCCAGGTGTGGTGGTGCGCACCTGTAATCCCAGCTACTCGGGAGGCTGAGGCAGGGGAATCGCTGGAATCCGGGAGATGGATGTTGCAGTGAGCCGATTGCGCCACTGCACTCCAGCCTGGCAACAGAGCAAGACTCAGTCTCAAAAACAAAACAAAAAGTGTGCAAGGAAATTGAAAGTGACAGCTGTGGCTTGCATGGTGTCGCAGGTCTCATCTCCTCTCTGGTCCCTGGACTCCAAGCAGTCCCTGTTGTCTTTCTGGCCTGTATCCCAGCGCCTGGCACTGCCTGGATACTCGGCGGGCGTGCCAAGCATTTTTATCAAAGGAGAGAGTGCCTGGGACTCCTTGATCTGCACCCACCTTCAGTGAGTCAGTGTGTGGGTGCGTCCGAGGATGGGGCCCTCACCTGGCTGCAGCTGTGTGTGTGTGTGTGGTTTTTTGTTTTTTTTTTTATTTTATGAGATGGGGTCTCAGTCTGTCACCTAGGCTGGAGTGCAGTGGTGCGATCTTGGCTCACTGCAACCTCTGCCCACTGGGCTCAAGCAATCCTCCCACGTTAGCTTCCTGAGGAGCTGGGACTACAGGTGCGTACCACCACGCCCAGCTAATTTTTTGGTATTTTTGGTAGAGTTGGGGTTTCACCATGTTGCCCAGGCTGGTCTAGAACTCCTGAGCTCAAGTGATCCGCCCTCCTCAGCCTCCCAGAGTGCTGGGATTGCAGGCAGGAGCCACTGCGCCCGGCCATCTGCAGCTGTTGCATGTGAGTGTGCACGTGCGTTCTGGTCGGGGCACTGGGGGTCGGCGTTCTGTAACTTTGCAGGCAGCCCCTCCTTTCCGGAGTCCCTGGGAACTTCAAAGCAGGAACGGAACATTCAGAGGCAGCAGCAATGTCCTGGTTCCTGCAGGCTTTGTAGGCTCAGAAAACAAACCTAAATCCAGTCATGTTTCTGCATTTAGCTTTATGTTTTTAAACAAAACTTTGGCTTGGCTTATGTTTCATTTATAGAAAAGCGGTACGTAGCTGGGAAGTTGGTACAATAATAGTTTATTCTCAGGCGCTGCAAAAACCAGCCATGTGTCTGCTGCCTGCTGTGCTAACCCTGGAATTTATTGATCTCTGTGGTCCTAGGTAGATCCACAGTTTAGAGACTAAAGTTAGATGACAATTTGTGCTTGAGAAGCAGGAGCTCTGGGGAGAAGATGATGTCTTCTTGGAGTCTGCTGTGTCCCCACGGTGCCGGCTCAGCACTCTGGCTGGGTTACAACAGGCCTCCTCGGGCTGCCCGCCTGGACACACAGGAAGACGCCAGCCCACGTGCTGCCCTGAGCTGCACTAGGACCAAGTCGGGGAAACCAGCCTGTGAGCTCTGGATTTGGGTCCTGATGCTGGGCCAAGGGGGGTTATCCCTTCCTAGAGAAAGCTGGAAAGCTGAGGTTGGAGTTGTCATAGCAACCAGGCCGTCAATCAGGGGCTGAGCACTGTCAGGGGCGTTGGATGTCCAGGACTTCCCACACAGGGGTCCCTGTGACAGAGTGGACAGGCCACAACCCTGCTAGATCATCCCCAGGGCAATCAGAAGCAACCCACTGGGCTGCGGGGTCAAAGTTATACACACTCTTCAAGAATGCAGTATCAGAAAAAATGAGGGGCAGACACTCTGGAAGAGAGACTTTAGACAAGAATCACTGCACATCCTTGGTTATTTCCCGGTAAGAAAAAATGTTTTGAGAACAACTAGGGGGAAATTTGAACGTGAACTTGTGTGAAGATGTCCTTGATCTAAGTTGGTTTCCTGTAACCATGGCGATGTAGTTATAGAGAGGAATGTCACCTGGTAATGCAGGCTGGAGTGTTTGAGGACACAATGCCATATTGCCCATAACTTATTTTTATTTTTTCCTTCGAGACAGGGTCTTGCTCTGTCGCCCAGGCTGGAGTGCAGTGGTGCAGTCATGGCTCACTGCAGCCTTAACCTCCTGGGCTCAAGCGATCCTCCCATCTCAGCCTCCTACTGAGTAGCTGGGGCTCTAGGCATGTGCCACCACGCCCAGCTAATTTTTGTATTTTTAGTAGAGACAGGGTTTCACCATGTTGGCCAGGATGGTCTTATCTCCTGACCCTGTGATCTGCCCGCCTCGGCCTCCCAAAGTGCTGGGATTACAGGCATGAGCCACCGCACCCGGCCGGGAATGGCACCTTCTAAAACGAAACATGCACATCCTCTGCCAGCCCAGTCTCTCAGGAACCTCAGAGACATCCTCACACCAGGGGGGACAGGTGACACGTTTGGCAAAACCTTAATCCACATAGAGCACGAGTCCACACTTATGAAATATCTAGAAACACAAAGTGCTGGCTGCCAGGTGCTGGCACGGAGGGGAGCGGGGCTGACTGCTCAGCGAGTGCGGGCCTTCTCTTGGGGTGATGAAATGCCTGCAGTAGATGGAGGTGTGGTCTCACAACATTGTCAATACACTAAATGTTGGAGACCAGCCTCAACACCACCCACAGCGTACCCGAAGTTCGGTGGCAACAAAGGAATGAGAAGAGACAGGTTAAGAGTTCATAAAGGTAGGAGCCAGGGGGCCAGTGGCAAAATGGAGGCTGCAAAAGGCACTGAGCTCTGGTCTCCACGCTATTTATTGAGTACAGTCACTTAGATCTGAGAAGCAGATGTTCAGGGCGAAACAGTGAAAGGGAGGCAGTGCGTCATAGGCGTAATCTACAGCAATACCGGTTTCAATGAATCTCCTTTGTGCTCAAACAGCGTATCTTTAACTTATCGGACAGGAGCTGGTGGGAGCGGGCTTAACCAGGAGCTCGTGTGTCTGTCCACAGTCCAGTGCTTCAAAGGAGTGTCCTTCTCCTTGAACACAGTGTTTACAGATAAGAGCGGGTCTCACTCTGAGCATGCGAACATGATGGCGATTAGGAGGCTTTCCTCCTCAGAGGCCTCTTGTGGCTTTCCACAACTTATTGTCCCATATTTTCATGGCCAGTTTATACAGGCATTCCACAAGCCCTTTTCCCAACACTAAATGCCACTGAACTGTACACTTTAAACAATGATTATGCCACTCGGCACAGCAGCTCACGCCTGTAACCCCAGCACTTTGGGAGGCCGAGGTGGGCAGATCACTTGAGGCCAGGAGTTCGAGTCCAGCCTTGGCCAACATGGCAAAACCCTGTCCCCACTAAAAATACAAAAATTAGCTGGGCGTAGTGGCGCATGCCTGCAATCCCAGCTTCTTGGGAGGCCAAGCCACAAGAATTGCTTGAACAACCCAGGAGGTGGAGGTTGCAATGAGCCGAGATCACACCACCTCACTCCAGACTGCGTGACAAAGACTGTCTTAAAAAAAAAAAAAAAAAAAAAGGTTATGTGAATTTCACCTCAACTTAAGAAGGGCTCTTGGCTTTTTTCTTTCAGCGTTTTGAGTATCTCATCCCTGCCTTCAGTGTATTTTTTTTTTTTTCTGATGAGAAGTCAAAAAAAAAATCTGAATCAGGTTTAAAAAAAATCTTAATCTTCCTGGGGTTCTCTTGTATGTGATGAGTCCTTCTCTGGCTGCTTTGAAGTTTTCTCTTTCAACATTTTGAGTTTCATCATTTCAGCTGTGTTTGGGGGAGGGTGTGGAGTTGCTTAGATGTGTGCAGTTTTTGATCAGTGTACACATCTAAGAAACTCTACACACTCCAAGGAAGATAAACTCAAAGCTGGCAAGTTTTTGGCCATGAGTTTTTTGAGTATTTTTTCTCCTGTGGTCCTGCTGCTGTGTGTGCTGTGGCACTTGGCGGTCCTGCATTTCTGAGGCTCTGTTCATCAATTTTTTTTTTTCAGATTACATAATTTCTATTAATCTACAAGTTTGCTGATTCTTCTACCGCCTCAAATCTACAATAACTGAAATAAAAACTTCACTAGAGGGTCTCAACTCTATTGAAGTTTTGATTTCTCTTACTGTGCTTTTTAACGTCTATATCTCTATTTGGTTTCTTTTAAAAATACCTATTGGTATTATTTGGTGAGACACTGTCATCATATTATCTTTTATTTATTTTTATTTTTGAGACAGGAGTTTCGCTCTTGTTGCCCAGGCTGGAATGCAGGGGTGCGATCTCGGCTCACTGCAACCTCTGCCTCCCAGGTTCAAGAGATTCTCTTGCCTCAGCCTCCCCGGCTAATTTTTGTATTTTTAGTAGAGACGGGGGTTTCATCATGTTGGCCAGGCTGGTGTCGAACTCCTGACCTCAGGTGATCCACCCGCCTTGGCCTCCCAAAGTGCAGGGATTACAGGCGTGAGACACTGCGCCCGGCCCCATCTTTTATTTCTTTAAATATAGTTTCTTTTAGTGATGGGAACATATTGATAAGGGCTGGTTGAAGTTTGTCTGCTAAGATCAGCACCTGGGTGCCCTCAAAGCCAGTCTATTGCCTCTCTGCTCCTTGTGTATGTGACACTCTTTTGTTTCTTTGAATGTCTTACCTTGTTTTTGTTGAAAACTGGACATTTTAAATAATACATTACAACAGATTTCCTTCTTCCTCTAGGGCTTGTTTTTTTTTTTTAAAGACAGGGTCTCATTTTGTCACCCAGGCTGGAGTGCAGTGGTATGATCATAGCTCACTGAAGCCGTGACCTCCCAGGTTCAAGCAATCCTCCTGCCTCAGGCCCCCAAGTAGCGGGGACTACAGATGCACGCCACCACGCCTGGCTAATTATTTGTTTTTTTTTTTTTTTTGTAGAGACACGGTTTTGCCATGTCGCCCAGGCTGGTCTCAAACTCCTGGACTCAAGCGACTTGCCTGCCTAGGCCTCCCAAAGGGCTGAGATTACTGGGGTGAGCCGCCGCGCCTGGCCCAGGGTTTGTTTTTGTTTGCTTGCTTGTTCAGTGTCTGTCTGTGGACTTGTCTGGGATCCAAAGAACAGGTGAAAAATTTGTTTCGGGGAACACGGGCCTATAAAGACTCCGCCATGCCTGTACTCTGCTTGCCCAACACTGACCACACCCACTGCCAACACCCAGAACAGGCTGTCTGCTGGGTACCAGCCCACCCGTGCCCGCCTCACCCTAGCTGCAGCCTCCCTGTGCCCGCCTCACCCAGCTGCAGCCTCCCTGTGCCCGCCTCACCCTAGCTGGAGTCAGTTTCTGGGCTGCAGTGGGAGATCTCCACCCGGGACACTGGCACTTCTCCGCTCATCGTCACAAGCGTAGGCCTGTGGAGTGATGTTTTAGACACGATAGTGAGCAAGGGCATTTGTGCGCAGTGAGGCCTGCTTCAAGCACTTGGAGACGATCCCCGGAGCAGCGCCCCCACCGGCTCTGGCAGCAGCAGAGAGATGAAGAGAATGGTA
The DNA here is from genome assembly GCF_000001405.40 of Homo sapiens. Lineage (NCBI taxonomy): Eukaryota > Metazoa > Chordata > Mammalia > Primates > Hominidae > Homo > Homo sapiens. The sequence continues at coordinate 43,696,196 of NC_000021.9, read as the reverse complement.
CCCAGAGTCTTGTTTTCAAACCCGACCAACACCAATATCTTCCCAACTCTGCTGTGCTGGAACAGCTCCCAAAGAGGCCTATTTTTACCCATACTGAAAGTCAACATCAAACACAAATTGGAGGGCAAAGACTTTTTTTTTTAATTGGACTTGGCTTTGACGAGTACTGACAAACCCTGCAGACACTAGTACAATTTGATCGTAAACAAAGTCCTTGCCAGCATAGTCCAGCAAATTCTGATAAAACACATACAAAAGTTAAAAGACAGCTCGATTTCATCTTCCTCCCAACACCTGCAACTGTTTCCAGATTTTCTGTGTAGTCTTCTTTGTGCTTTCAGTTCAGTAAAAATTAGAAAGGATAACAAACTTGTAAAGTCAGATACCTAATTGTACAAAATTGACTAGACCATGGAGAAGGGGGAAGCATCATTTTACAAAATATTGTTAAGATCACCAGCATTAATTTAAATTATTTTCCTTTCTGGACTTCCAAGTCCACTTGGCAATTTTACTTAGGAAAATATCATGCGTAAATAGAAAACCAGTATTCTAAACACATTTTCTTTATGTGACATATTCTTGTGCGTCTATGTAATGAGAATTTTTAAAAAATTGTTTTCTTCCTGCTGTCAAAACTTAGGCATTAAAAATAAGGGACTGTAAACCTAGTTGACTTACCCATAAAAAGGAGTAAGTTCGGAGAATGAGAGAAGGACCAATAGAATCTAAGAAGCACCCTGTCACTCCCAGCCGGGACCTCTCAGGCATGGTTTTGACAGGAGGTGCATTTATAGGACATTCACTGGTTCCTCAGAATGGACAGATAATATAGAAATGCTAGGAAAAAACATTCCTGCAATAGTCTGCAGAACAAATGTGCCAGTTTTGCCTTAGATGTCCTAAGACATCTCAACAATGTTGGATTATATGGCCCGTTTGGCTATATGACCCATCTTTAAAGCTGAAATAAAAATTGTTAGAAAAATATTCTAGGAAGAATGAAACTTAAAAAAAAAAAAGAAAAGTTAAAACTATTTGCTCACCTTAATTGTTTCACTGTATCAGTTTTGGTTCTGAATGGGATGTGAGGATCCTATCTAATGCAGCCATTAAGCCACCACAGCTATGTTGTACGTAAGACTTCTCATTACAGTGACGATTAACAGCACAAGTTCATTACTTTTTTCATGGCTCATTATGACAAAACGATTACAGAGTAGGCGAAGAACAGAGTGCTTTCTCCTCACCAGGGCCTTCATCAGTGAGTCAACTGCTCTTGACGCCAGCAAGTCAGTCTGATGTTCGCAGGTGAAACCCCACCCTTGGCTCCATGAATGAATGAGACCGAGGTAAACCCAATGCAAGCTCTGCAACCCCAGGGGCCGAAGCCACGTTGTCCAAAGCCATAGCTGGGACCTTGGAGATCCTGGGGCCCTCTGCTGGGAGGCAGCAGTGGAGAAGGGGACTGGCCGCGTTTTGCTGAAAAACCGAGGCTCCTGTATGGGGGGCATAACGGGAAGGAGGCGGCTTTCACTTCCAGGCCTGAGCAGAGCGTGGCTGGCTGGGAGAGCTGCACGCCAGCCCGAACCGTGTGCCCGTGCCCTCTCACCGTGCAGACGGTAGCTGCGGAAGCCACGGAGAAGGCGAGCAGCCTTGGCGGCTCTCCTCAGGAGCCGCTCACTTTGAATCTGCACCTTCTCCAGCTCTCAGGCCCAGGTCAGACACTTCCTCAAACAGATCAATGATCCAGCAATCGCTGCTCAAAAGAAGGCCTTATTTCTGTTTCTCCAACGAAAGCCTGAGTGCCTTCCGCCCGTGTTTGTAATGAACTTACAGGAGAACGGTCTGAACTGTAAGTGCACGCTTCCGCATTTGAGAGGAAAGGTCGCTGAGCCGGAGCGCAGGCTCCAGATGCGCAGGCAGCCTCTAGGGAAGATGGGGAGCTGCCATGGAGCCGGTCAGGCAGTGACTCGGCTGGAACGTGGACGGAGAGAGAGAGAAACGGGAGCGCAAGGGCTTGGAGGAATGAGTGTGCTCCACGCAAGGACCTCAGCAGAAGGCTCAGCACGGGGCGGGGTCCTGGGTAAGAGCCGGGGGCTGCGCTGGGCTCCCGGGAAGACACTTTGGGCTTGCCGTAGAGGTAGGAAAACAGGGAGGGAAACCGGGTAGGGGGAGGAGAAGAAAAAGCCCCCAGAACGCAGAGCCTCTTCTTTCCCCACCCCTACCTGTCCACACCCCCAGCTGAGCACATGTAGAAAAACTATGGTATTGCTGATTCTGTGACAAGAATCTTCCCCATCGGTAACCTGCCAAACACCCACAGAACATGGCAATGAAGCCCTACATGCTTTTAAAAGAAAACAGACTGTTAAGACTAACAGAAACCAACTTAGTACGGCGAATACGGTAATGAGTACCAAATTCCGCAGAACTGAGAGCTCAACAGAAGTGCAGTTCCACCTTTCATTGTGCCAGCAGCACTGATTGATTTAAAGTTCAGATCAACGTGCTCTCCTCAGCTTCAGAGAGGGTCTCATTTCCTACACCAATGGGAATCACTGAGGTTACCCAAAAATGTAAAATCCTGGAGAGCTCAAACGCAAACATGGTTTGTAGCAAAAGATTCAACCAAGACGCCCGCAGCCACTACAGAGGGGCCAGGACGCAGCAGCCTGCGGGCACTCTCAGAACCTCGTGCACACAACTTATGGGAACTTACAAAATCATAAAAAAGGCCCCACATTCTTAAAGGTATAATTTATAGCGCATTCTGTACAAAAGCAGTCTTTTACAAGGGACTCTGCTGCTCCTCAGAAGAAATCCATAGCCCTGGGCCTTCTCCTTGGTGTGGTGGTCAGGGGCTTCTTGGCCACCAGGGGTGAGCTGGCAGGTGAGCTGGTGGGGGTCTTCAGCACCCCGTGGAGGGGCTTCTGTTCAGGGTCGAAGGCCACTCGAGAAGGGCCCGTGGGACTGACCAAGATACTCTTGTCTGTCTTCTTGAATTCTGTCCCAAATGAGAGCAAGGCCCCATATTAAGTGGGTCCGACAGCTGTCCCTTCAACACCTTAGACAGCGTCCTGCCTGGGTGCCGACCCCACCCACTTGCTAGGACGAAGCAGGGCCATCTCAAGGCCCTGCAGAGAGCAGGCCCAAGAGCCTTCTGAGGAAAGGAGGGCAGTGAGGCCACATCCCATGCCTCAACTCACCCTCCCAAGGGAGGGCCCAGGGCTGCCTGCACAGACTAAGGGGAGCTGCTGGTAGGGTGGCTCCTGGAAGGGTGAACATTGGGGGTGGGGGTGTTTTGGACAATGAGTGAACCAGGCATTTGTGTCTGGGACAAATCTGTGCTATGTGGAGCTGCAGGATTCGTACTGTTCATTTTCTCCAGTTGTAAAGGCTGGGTGAGCTCCTCAGTCTCTCAGAGTCTCTTCTCCCTAAACATACACACTCACGCATGTGTGCATGCACACGCACACACACATATATACTGGTGCATGTACACACACTCACACATACACATACTCTCTATTACTTGCAGTTCCCAACAAGAGTCAGGTCCTAAATTCGTTATAATACTTTTTTTTTTTTTTTGAGATGGAGTCTCACCCAGCCTGTCACCCAGGCTGGAGTGCAGTGAAACGATCTTGGCTCACTGCAACCTCCATCTCCTGGGTTCAAGCAATTCTCCTGCCTCAGCCTCTCGAGCAGCTGAGACTACAGGTGCTTGCCACTACGCCCAGGTAATTTTTGTATTTTTAGTAGAGACGGGGTTTTACCATGTTGGCCAGGCTGGTCTCGAACTCCTGACCTCATGATCTGCCCACCTTGGCCTCCCAAAGTGTTGGGATTACAGGCATGAGCCACCGCGCCTGGCCTATACTACTTTTTAAAACTTTGGTTTCCTTTGTAAAAGCAACTCGAATGGATGGCACCAATATGAAAAGTAGGAAGATAGGGGTTACCCTTCTCTGTCGCCCAAGAAGCAAGTGGTTCCGAAGTTTCGCAGAGAGACAGCTACAGCTGATGGAGCACTACGATCTCAAATGGCCTCTCTATGGGACGGCTTTCAGTATTTAGAAAGACACTTGGGAAAACGGCTTTTTGGATCACGTCTCACCAGGTAGCTTCTCTTAACAGGTCCCAGGCAATTGGCTGCCCACTCACCACTGGCACCCCACTCACAGCCCTTTGAGGATGAGGGACAGACACATAGGTGCTTCCTTCTGACTCAGAAATGGGCAGTGAGGGGCCGGGCTCGGTGGCTCACGCTTGTAATCCCAGATCTTTGGGAGGCCGAGGCAGGCAGATCACCTGAGGTCAGGAGTTTGAGACCAGCCTGGCTGACATGGTGAAACTCCATCTTTACTAAAAATACAAAAATTAGCTGGATGTGATGGCGTGCACCTGTGATCCCAGCTACCCGCTACCCGGCAGCCTGAGGCAGGAGAATCGCTTGAACCTGGGGGGGCGGAGGTTGCAGTGAGCCAAGATCTCGCCACTGCACTGCAGCCTGGGTGACAGAGCAGCGAGACTCTGTCTCAAAAAAAAAAAAAAAATAAAAATAAAGAAATGGGCAGTGAGGAGCTAGGACCCCCCTCTTCCCCGACCGCCTTGTGGAACCAGGCTGCGAGCCGCGCCAGGAGCTGCAGCTGTGCTCCAGAGAAGCTTGCCGCTGGCAAAACCCCACTTACCGGCAGTCATGTTTCTGTTCAGCCCAAAGGTGACTTTCTTGGAGCTGGATGGTGTCTTGTTTAGCTGCAGAAGAGAAATAACAGGAACAAAAGGAGTGACGCAAGTGCAGTGGAGGCGCTTAGTCAGATTTTTCTGGAGAACCTGCCCTGGAGGGTATGCCGCCCACACTGCTGCTTACTGAGTGGCACATATAGGGAGAGGCCAAAGGGACTGCGGCCAAGACTGAAACCGACCCTCCTGTCGGGGCTTCACCAGGACCGCCCTTTGTCCTTCCCAGCGTCCCACACACGCAACCCCCCAGCCCAGGGTCAGTGGTGCCCACACTCTTGGCCCATCTGCGGTCACTGCCTCATTACCGCTGCAGGGTTCTACGATCCAGGGAAGAAAGGCAAACAGAGAGGATGCCTGAACTGTCCTAAAAACAGTTCACCACTGAGAACCCGTGAGGAAAAATGCCAAGACTCCCCTGCCTTTTGCTGGAGAGTTCTGAACTTCTAACTTGAAGACTCTATGACATCGATGAGACGATGCCTATGATGGAATCTCACTGCAATGGACAATGGACACACAGTTTCCAGCTTTTTGTGCACAAGGACTCTGAGCTATCTGCATATCCCAACAGTTCACCACAATCAACTATCTTCTTTCCTACTTACATTCCTGGAAGTGGATCCAGCCTGCATCAGGAAGCACTGCCTCAAGTTCCTGCTCTGACCCACATTTCTGTGTGGACCTCCTACTGCTGACTTGCACCACTTGTGTTTAACACTGTGACATTTCACGAGAGAAAACTGGTTTCTGCAAACCCTGAGCCGGAAGCCCTGGGAGGCAGAATGTGTGGATCAACCGCCCCTCAAAGTCCCCTTCCTGACTGTGATCCCTCAGGGTGGGTCCCAGACCACTCAGACCTTATGCTACCCTGGCCGTGGAACCTGTCCACTGTGGACAGGCTCAGAGGGCCACAGTGGGGCTCCAGGCCCGGCATGGGAAGCACTGTCAGCTCAAGCCCATCTGTGCCCTTGTGGTGAAATGTGCTGTGCCACTCTGGGGAGGGTGCGTACCTGGACGGCAGGGCCTGGAGGGTGGGTGGCAGTGCTGCTCTTGGCTCTTCTGAAGAACAGGGGCTTTGGTAAGAAGGGGGTGTCAAACTTCACAAAGTCGCTCTCTGCCCTCAGCTTCTGCTTCTTCAGGGAACTGCAAGTCCCACTGCTTCCCTACGTGAGCGAGGGGTGAGAAGCGGAGGAGGGGTCAGACGACAGAGCCTCCTGTGCTGCCCACACACACAGGAGGGGAAGGCAGAGCCCCAGGCAGATCCAGCCCACCCGACGGCCCGCGGTCTTCCGCACCGCACTTGCAGACAGCCCTTCCATTCGGCAGAGCTCAGGCTTCACGCACAACACGACCGCTATCATGGCACCATGCCAAGAGGGGCGATGAAAACGCCTCGTCAGAGTAAGGACCCACTTTTATCTTCATCTTCAAAATGGGGATTTTGGCCTTTCAAAGCCGATCTGTTAATAAGATCGACTCTCCCATTTGTAGCTGAATCGTCACTGCGCTGGCAGTCTGGTGTGGAGGACAGTGATGCCCATGTGGGGCTGTGGGTCCCTCACAGGCAGGCCCAGGACACTCATTGCGTGTGCAGCAACTGACAGCCACCCAGAGAGAGACCGGGTCTCGTACTTGGCTCTCAGAGGTGTGGGCAGCCCAGTGCCGCTGCCGACACACGGGTGGCTCCGGCAGGTTCAAGTGTGCCGCCTGGAGGGCAGGGAAGCCCGAGGAGCTTCTCCTGTGCGCCTTCCCTGTGCCATGACAGATGGCAGGGGAAAGCTTCCCTTGACCCTGGGACTTATTGAGCAACACCCCATCCTCTTTACAATAGGCTGCCAGGGGCCTGAGACGACAGCAAGAAAGGCAATGTCTCTGGCCCTCTTAGTGAGGGAGCAGCGCTGAGGGTACGAGGGGCAGGCTGCAGTCCAGGGAGGAGATGGCGGCACTGTGAGGTAGGAGAGACTCGAGGCTAGAAATGGGCCTCCTGCCGTCCAGCTCAGTGCACTGCTGCCCCTGGGTAAGGCTTTCCTGACCATAAACTCACTCACTAGCCACTTGCAGACACTCTTAGCCCCAAACCAGCGCTTCACCAGGTCCACACATGTCCACTTAAACAAGAGATGTCATAATCTCCGCAAAGCGGTGTGTGCAAACCAAGAGGTGACCAAGGTGCGCAAACTCTGTGAAGGGCAGAGTTATTTTCTGCTTTACAGACCGCAGGTCTCTGTCTCTACCACTCCCCTCTGCCGCTGCAGCATGAAAGTGGCCACAGACCTGCACATACAAGTGGATGTGGCTCTGTTGCAGTGACACTACGTTTGCCGGCCCTGGCCTGGAAGCCCAGGGCGCCCAGAGGTGGTGTGAAAAGCGGATCAGGGCCAGGCGCGGGGGCTCTCGCCTGTAATCCCGCACTTTGGGAGGCCGAGGCAGGTGGACTGCTTGAGCCCAGCCTGGGCAACAAGGCAAAACTCTGTCTCTACAAAAATAACAAAAATTAGCTGGGCATGGTGATGTGTATCTGTAATTCCAGCTACTTGGGAGGCAGAGGCAGAAGAATCGCTTGAACCTGGGAGGTGGAGGTTGCAGTGAGCCGAGATTGTGCCACCGCACTCCAGCCTGGGTGACACAGCCAGACCCAAGACCAGATCAACAGCTTGGTTCCTCATTTATATCTGGCTCTAGAAATCAAAGTGGAAGGAAAGTCTTTCCATTAAGAAGATAAGTGGTCCTGCTAGTGAAGTTTCTTGAGCTGGGGGGTAGGGGGGAAGCTAAGAAAAGAAAAGAATATAGAAAAGAAGGTGAGTGAAGCAAGAGAATTTTGGGCTTCCTCTTTTGCCAAAGGGGCCTGGACTGGCCATGCGCTGATGAAGAAAACCAGACCTGCCTTTGACAGAGGCCTAGACTGGCCTGAACACGCCTGGGGCAGGAGTGCCTGGCCCAAGGGATAACTTTCCCAGCTTGGAGTGGGCCCTCCCGAACCCAAGCATGTGGCCTAAGGGAGTGAAGGTGGCCGATGAGGAGGACCGAAGTACTGGTCACCTGTGATTTCCTCCTTAGTGAAGGCTGTTATGAACACACCCTATTCTAACTGCTGCTGAGTCCAGAGGCCTGGCCGCCAGCCCCCACCCTTCCTCTCAGGAGGCAGTGGAGCCCCATGGACGCGAGTGAGTGCCTCTGTGGCGAGCTGGCCTGTGGGTGCTCCCACCTTACCAGAGCCTGGGGTTGCCCAGCTTCGGACTCCAGCACCCCGTTGTGCTCCACCAAGTTTGACATCACTCTCATTTTCTTCCTCTTTTTCAAACTTGCTGTTTTCTGGCTGGGCAGGCCACAGAGCTCCAGGCTGCCGGGCCCTGCCTTCTTTTTCTGCAGCCTCCTGCGCTGGGGCAGCGTGGTGTGGCTGTTCGCCCCCTCTGCGGGGCCTGTGGGAGGGCCTTCCTGCTGCAATGGAGGCCAGGCCGGCGTGGACAGGCCACTGCCATTGACGGGCACAACTCCAAGTTTCCGCTTCCTTTTTAGGAGTTGGGCTCCACCTGTCGGGGACCCTCTAGGTCCCTGAGGATGACTGCCACTCGGGCCACTCTGAGACATGTCCTCTGGGGGCAACACTGCTGATTCCAACATTTCCCTGTGGGCCCTCGGGCTCTTCTTCCGTGGCCGTTTCCTTTTATTGTGCATGGGGACGGCTGGAGGATGCTCGGAGCCACTCTCCTCCCCAGTGCTGGACGTGGCCTCTGCACCTGGCTCGGCCACACGTGCCTTCAGGGCTTTCAGCCCAGAGGCCTCGGGCTCCCTGCCCCGGTTCTGTTCCAGGGATGGGGCTGCACCCCCTGGGCCTGGATTTTCAGGCTGCAGGTGGTGCTTCTTCTTCTTCTTCCTTCTTCTCTTTTGAAGACTGCTTTCACTGTCCTCTTCCTCTACACAAAAGACTCTGCTTCCTAAAAAGACAGAAACCCATCAACAAGCACCCAGTGCCAGCTGGGCCAGAGTCCTGCTGGCGATTCTCAGACAGTATGACTGGCGGACGCAATTTCCTGACATTCTACCACGAGGAAAGTTCCTGTCTCCCTTGAGGTACTTGGTGCGCCCACTACCTTTGTCGTCTGGTCCCACTTCCTCCATCCCCAACTGTGACTGGAAGCCTTCCTTCTGTCCGTTTATAAACACATATGGAACTGAAATAGTCCCATTTCCACTAATTTTAGGGCTCAAGGGTAAAAACCATAGATCTCGAGTGGTCATCAAACAGCCGCCCCCCAGTGCTCCCTGCAGCTCCTGCTTCCCTGCAGAGGTGCCCTGGAGAGCAGGCGGACGTGAGCGGGGTGAGGTGGGGACGCGGCTCCACCAAAAACAGCACAACACTTGGAAAACCGCCTTTACCTCTCAGCCATTAAAGACTGAAGCTTTGGGCTCTGCTAATGCTTTATGACGGCACGAGCTCAAGTCTCCGAGGCCTCCATGGTGCATGCCGCTCCCCAAGGGCTGAGTCGTGCCCTTCTTTTTAGCTTTACAGCTTACCTTTCTCCTTTTCCAAGTTAGTTTTCTCTAAAAGTTTATTTCCTTTCTTCTTATGCTTTCCTTGACTGAGGATTTGGTCATCTTCATCAGCAGAAATGTCCTCCGCAAAACTGAGTTGAGATATACTGCTTCCTAGATGCCAGAGTGACACACTGTTAGCTTCCCCAGGCGCTCAAGACTCTGCCCCAGGGGCCTAAGAGCAGCACCCCTCCCAATTTCTGCCTCATCATCATCGTTCCTCACCGTTTCTCCCACCCAAACCTGAGCGCTGCTGACACAGGAATTACAGACTTAAAAAAGCTTTGTGGATTTCTCAACCAAGGCAAGGCAAGGGATCACAAGCCCTCGGTGACACCCTCCATGGCTGGACCCCGGACGCTTGGCTAATGCAGTCTCTGCATTCCAACCAGCTTGCTGGTGCCTTTCCCAATTCCAAGTGTCCCTAGTGAATGACGGGTATGGGGTAACTTCACTGACTTGTCCAAATGTAACAAAGCTTACAGCATCAGCCTTTCCCGGGGGGACCATTGACCATAAGAGCAAATGAAAGGGATCCTGAGAAATTACATTTTTTACCTTCATAGAGTATCCAATTAAAACCTTCCTAGGCCATTGAAAATCCATCTAGTTAAAATAATAAAAACCAAACCAAAACATCGCAGTACCCACACATGAGAGCAGTCTGCCCTCTTGCTTTGGTGGTTAGGGAGAGCCCAGGATAGGAAGGTGGGCAGGCTGCAGGGAGCCCTAGGCTTGCATCACTTCCCACGCTGTACTGCGGTATGACTAGGTAAGGGCTGGTCTGTCTTTCTTAAAAGTTGGGGTCTTGTTGTGTCACCCAGGCTGGAGTGCAGTGGTGTGATTACAACTTACTGCATCCTGGACCTCCTGGGCTCAAGCGATCCTCCCCTCTTAGACTCCCAAGTGACTGGGACTACAGGATCACGCCACCACGCCTGGCTAATTTTTTCATTTTTAGTAGAGATGTGGCCTTGCTATTTTGCCTGGGCTAGGGACTATTATTTCTTATCAGAGGTTTTCAGTAAAGTTCTTTCAATCTTGTTTCTCAGCGTTTGGCATCAACGCCCCCAGTGGGGTCCATATTCACGAAAAACACCATGAATGATGATTCTTGGCGCGCCTCACCTTCAGAAAGGTCTTGGAATCTAAAAATAAAAAAATAAAAAATAAAAAATAAAAAAATAACAAATGTTCATAAAGAAATCCCTTCTGTCTTCTGTAGACATATGTATTTGATTTTTAAAATACAAGCCATAGTTAAATAGTTGTTAATTCACGTTCTCCTCCAGGAGGGGAGGCTAGACAGGAAATTCTGTGAGGGAAGGGTGGTGCAATACAAAAGCCAAAAAGCTCAAGGCCAGTGCCGCCCTCGGTTACCATCAATACCAGCAAGGACACGGCGGGCCAAAGATGCATCTTGGCACACCCAAATCAAACTAAGAAATTCAATTTTTGTTTCTGAAGGCAGAAATAGCTTAGATCTCTCTCATATTCAATTCTCCAGTGGAGAAAGGCGAAGCCATGTTTTGCTTCACACAATTTTTGTGCATTAGAACAAACAAGACGCATCGAAGCGCAGTGTGGGGAGGTGCATGGGGGAGGAGACACTGGATGGCAGGGACCTCAGGCAAGCTAGGACCATCCTGTGCCCTAAGAACCAGCTGGGAAATGGGCAAAACTACAGGAGCTACTTTCTGGGGGCTTAACATGGAATACTTGAATGTATACAAAGTGCTCAGAGCAGTGCCCGGCTCCTAGAGTGTGATCAGACAGTTGTTGTCACCAATGACAGCAAGCCACACGAGGCCCTCCATGAATTCCAGGTCATCATGTCACTATGGTCAGAGTGACATCAACACTGACAGCTGAATTAACTAACACTTTTGGCATAGCCATATGGGAGGGAGGGGAGAGGTAAAGAATTAACCCTATCTATCTCAGCAGCACACCAGCAGAAGACACCTAAATAGCAGATTCACATCAGTTTCTGGTTGGTTCATTTTAGACATGAATAGACTTCACATCATTCTAAAGCAGCTAAGAGATGAGTATGGCTGCACTGGAAGAATGGAACCTGAGGGGTGGGACTGCTGTTTCCATTAAGCTTTTCAGTTTACATGTGTCTATTACATTGCTATACACAAAAGCATTAAAGGACAAAAAAAGAAGAAAGAAAAAAGATAAGCATGCAGATGGCTTGTCCCACACCAGGAGATGAGAACTAAAGGAATGATGATGTCAGAACCCTCTCCCCAGTTACTGACTTCTTGATGAGTTTGGAGAGGCGCTTCCTGTTGAAGTGGGGCGTGTTCTTCCTGCTGGTCATTTCCAGGAGTCGATCAGCAACAGCCTTATAGTCAAACTAGGCAGGAAGAGAAACTAAACATAAGTCTGCAGCCAAACAACACTGCCTGACTTGGCCATTTACATCTGCTAGTAAGAGAAACCCTTACTGAAGCATTTGGCAACAGATAGGCTAAACAAGCTTGTGCTGGGACTTGGCAACCAGGAGCACAAGCACTACCTTTGAAAAATGCATGTTCAGGCCGGGCGCGGTGGCTCATGCCTGTAATCCCAGCACTTTGGGAGGCTGAGGCGGGTGGATCACAAGGTCAGGACATCGAGACCATCCTGGCTAACACGGCAAAACCCCGTCTCTACTAAAAATACAAAATATTAGCCGGGCGTGATGGCGGGCGCCTGTAGTCCCAGCTACTCGGGAGGCTGAGGCAGGAGAATGGCGTGAACTCAGGAGGCAGAGCTTGCAGTGAGCCGAGATCGAGCCACCGCACTCCAGCCTGGGAGACAGAGTGCGACTCTGTCTCAAAAAAAAAAAAAATTATTCTTGGGAAAAGCTGGGTAAGCAATTCTTAAAAAAAAAAAATTGTGATAGAGTACCCACAACAAAATTTACCTGGGTGTGCTTTTTTTTTTTTTTTTTTGAGCCAGAGTCTGTCACCCAGGCTGGAGTGCAGTGGCATGATCTCAGTTCACTGCAACCTCCACCTCCCGGGTTCAAATGATTTTCCTGCCTCAGCCTCCCGAGTAGCTGGGATTACAGGCGTGCGCCACGGTGTCGGGCTAATTTTTGTATTTTTAGTAGAGACGGGTTTCACTGTGTTGGCCAGGCTGGTCTCGAACTCTTGACCTCAGGTGATCTGCCCGCCTGGGCCTCCCAAAGTGCTGGGATTACAGGCGTGAGCTTGTAATTAAATTTTAAATTTAATCTAGATTTGCAATCTGTACTTGGCAAACTTTTTTTTATTTGAAAAGTGCCACTAGAGCTGGCTCTGTGGTAGAGAACAGAGGAGAGCTTAGCCATTCAAAATAAGTGCTACTATCTCTTTCAAAACTCCATCATATTTACATTTCCTTGTCTCCAATAAGGTTATTCTTCAGAAGGTGACATTTAGTGACTGAAGGGATTAAAAAGGAGTTTACGCTTCAGGCCTTATAGCTTAACTAGCTGTGACCCTAATTCTCTAGTCAGGCTACTCCACAGCAAATCTATATTCTATAAAAAGCAACAACTGCTACCCACCTGGAGAAGGGGCCCTGTGTCCTCAAAGGTTCCACAGTCATCTCTTCCTCTTTCATCACTGAGTCCATCTTTTCTGGAATGGTTTTTGCCCAGTGCTGTCAAAATATACCCAAAGACCAAATTATTGACATATCAAATACACAGAAGTGACTACTTCCACAGGAGCCACTGTCTAATTAGGTGTCTCTTAGCAAAAAAGAAGGTTGGGCACGGTGGCTCACGCCTGTAATTCTAGCACTTTGGGAGGCTGAGGTGGGTGGATCACTTGAGGCCAGGAATTCTAGATCAGCCTGGGCAACATGGCGAAACCCCGTCTCCACTAAAAATACAAAAATTAGCTGGGCGTGGTTGCGGGTGCCTGTAATCCCAGCTACTTGGGAGGCTGAGGCATGAGAATCGCTTGAACCCAGGAGGCAGAGGTTGCAGTGAGCCAAGATCATGCCACTGCACTCCAGCCCGGGCGACAACGAGACTCCGTCTCAAAAAAAGAAAAAATGAAAGAAAATTTATTTAAGGAGAAAAACTCTGCAAAGCCATTTATAATTTCCCAGGACATTTTGATTGTTCAGGCTATGGGAATGAAGGTAAGTCTGGGAAAAAGCACATGTTTTGCCTTTTGTACCCATAAAACCCCAATTCCCTGCTGCCTTCGATGATTTCCTCCCCCACACGTGGTCCCGTTAGGACGAAGGCTGCGGTGCATGGGAAGCTCCTGTCCAGGGACGCAGGCAAGCGGATGGGACACGGCATCGCCCTGGACCACCAGGGGTAGGAGCATGGACGCAGGAATCCGGCCCTAGTCTCAGGTCAGTTTAGGACCTTGGTGAGAACCTGTCACAGCAGTACAGTCACTTTTCACGAGCATGCTTCAGGAAGCACAAGTCAATATTAATGCAACTTTTAGCACTTAAAAAATTCAGAGTGTTACAGCCTATGAAGAAGCAGATTAAACAGACTCAGGAGAACTCAAAATTATTTTAAACGTGTACTGTTTCTGGAACCCTCTAAGCTTATTAGTGGTGCGACATCAGGGCAAGGCCTGGGGAGGATGGGGCAGGCGCAGCACACGTTTCATGAACGCAACTGGGAGGGAACGTCCGGAACTGCACTTGGAAGAGAGTCTGTGTCCAGGTTAGGCGACAGAAATGTGGGGAGCGGAGGGACCCAGAGACTACTCCCATGACCACATAAAATTTGCTCCAGGTCCTTAGTCAACTCTGTTATCTACACCAAATTTAAAATCAGACTATTTCTTTTTTTCGTTTTGTTTTAGAGATGGGGGTCTCATTATGTTGCCCAAGCTGGTCTCAAACTCCTGGGCTCAAGTGATCTTCCCATCTTGGCCTTCCAAAGTACTAGGATTATAGGCATGAGTCTCCACACCTAGACTAGACTATTTCTTTTATTCTTTCTTTTTTGAGACAGGGTCGCTGGTAGCTCTGTTGCCCAGGACGCAGTGCAGTGACACGATCATGATTCACGGCAGCCTCACCCTCCCAGGTTCAACTGATTCTCCCAGCTCAGCCTCCTGAGTAGCTGAGACCACAGGCATGTGCCATCACGCTTGGCTAATTTTAAAATTTTTGTAAAGTCAAGGTCTTGTTATGTTGCCCAAGCTGGTCTCCAACTCCTAGGCTCAAGTGATCCTCCCACCTCAGGCTCCCAAAGTGATGGGATTACAGGTGTGAGCCACCGTGCCTGGCCAGAGTATTTTTTCTTTCTTTTAAAGATTCTTGGCCGGGCATGGTGGCTCACGCCTGTCTGTAATTCCAAGACTTTGGGAGGCCCAGGCGGGCGGATCAACTGAGGTCGGGAGTTCGAGACCAGCCTGACCAAAAGATAGATACAAATTTTGCTAAGCATGGTGGTGCATGCCTGTAATCCCAGCTACTTGGGAGGCTGAGGCAGGAGAATTGCTTGAACCCGGGAGGCAGAGGTTGCAGTGAGCTGAGATTGCGCCATTGCACTCCAGCCTGGGCGACAAGAGCGAAACTCCATCTCAAAAAAAAAAAAAAATTACTTCCCGTCCACCAGGTCTAAAAATTAAAAAGAAAAAAAAGGTTCTTGATTCTATCTATCTATCTATCTATCTATCTATCTATCTATCTATCTGTTTATTTATTTATTTTTTGAGACAGTGTTTTGCTTGGTTGCCCAGGCTGGAGTGCAGTGGCACGATCTTGGCTCACTTCAGCCTCCACCTCCTGGGTTCAAGTGATTCTCTCCCACCTCAGCCTCCCAAGTAGCTGGGACTATAGGCGACCGCCACCATACCTGGCTAATTTTTGTACTTTTTGGTAGAGACTTGGTTTCACCATGTTGGCCAGGCTGGTCTCGAACTCCTGACCTCAAGTTATCCGACTGCCTGGGCTTCCCAGAGTGCTGGGATTATAGGCATGAGCCACTGCAACCGGCTTGATTTTTTCTGATTAAATATAATATATAATCACTGTAGGAAATAGAGAAGTACAAAGGAAACAGAAATCACCCATAATTCTGCCACCTACAGCTAACTATACTAACATTTTGGGCTAGGTGTGGTGGCTCATGCCTTTAATCCCAGCACTTTGGGAGGCTGAGGTGGGTGGAATGCTTAAGCCTAACAGTTTAAGACCAGCCTGGGCAATATAGTGAGACCCCTGTCTCTACAAAAAATAAAGAGGTGTGTGCTTGTGGTCCCAGCTACTTGGGAGGCTGAAGTGCGAGGATCACTTGAGCCCAAGAGGTTGAGGCCGCAATAAACCATGACTGCTCCACTGCACTGCAGCCTGGGCAACAGAGCAAGACACTGTCTCTCTTTTTTTTTTTTTGAGATGGCGTCTCCCTCTGTCGCCCAGGCTGGAGTGCAGTGGCTCGATCTCTGCTCACTGCAACCTCCGCCTCCCAGGTTCAAGTGATTCTCCTGCCTCAGCCTCCTGAGTAGCTGGGGTTACAGGCATGTGCCACCATGCCTGGCTAATTTTTTTTTTTGTATTTTTAGTAGAGACAGGGTTTGAGCATGTTGGTCAGGCTGGTCTCGAACTCCTGACCTCGTAATCCACCTGTCTCCGCCTCCCAAAGTGCTGGGATTACGGGCCTGGGCCACCGCGCCCGGCCGACCCTGTCTCTAAATAAATAAATAAAACATTTTGGTTTATCCTTCCAGATTTTTTAAAAGCACGAACAATCCTAGCCAGAGCAATCACAGAAAAGAAATAAACGGCATCCAAACTGGTAAAGAGGAAGTCAAAGTCCGTGTTTGCCGATGATACAATCATATACCTAGAAAACCCTAAACACTCACCCAAAAAGCTCCTAGAATGGTAAATGAATTCAGCAAAGTTTCAGGATACAAAACCAATTTACATGAATCAGTATGATGGCTATACACCAACAACGACCAAGCTGAGAATCATATCAAGAACTTACTCCCTTCTACAACAGCTGCAAAAAAACCCCTACCAAAACAACAATGACAACAAAAAACAAAACAAACAACAAAACCTCAAAAACCTTAGGAATATACCTAACCAAGGATGTGAAAGATCTCTACAAGGAAAACTACAAAACACTGCTGAAAGAAGTCACTGATGACACAAACAAATGGAAATACAGAAGCACATCCCATGCTCACGGATGGGTAGAATCAATATTGTGAAAACGACCATACTGGCAAAAGCAATCTACAGATTCAACACAATGCCCATAAAAATACCATCATCATTCTTCACAGAACTAGAAAAAACAATCCTAAAATTCATATGGAATCAAAAAAGAGCCTGCATAGCCAAAGCAAGACTAAGCAAAAAGAATAAATCTAGAGGCTGGGAGTAGTGGCTCATGCCTGTAATCCCGGCACTTTGGGAGGCTGAAGCTGGTGGATCACTTGAGGTCAGGAGTTCGAGATCAGCCTGGCCAACATGGTGAAACCCCATCTCTACTAAAAATACAAAGACATATTAGCTGGGCGTGGTGGCACCCGCCTATAATTCCAGCTACTAGGGAGGTTGAGGCATGAGAATCGCTTGAACATGGGAGGCAGAGGTTGCAGTGAGCTGAGATCGCACTATTGCACTCCAGCCTGGGCGACAGAGCAAGACTCTGTCTCTCTCCCCTCCCCGCCGCCAAAAAAAACCCAAAACACCAAAACACCAAAAAAAAAAAGACACACAAAAAAACAAAAAACCCTCAAAAACCCGGAGACATCAGAACACTCGATTTCAAACTATACTATAAAGCCATAGTCACCATAATGGCATGGTACTGGTACTGGTATAAAAATAGGCATGTAGACCAATGGAACAGGAGAACCCAGAAATAAACCCAAATACTTACACTCAACTGATCCTCAACCAAGCAAACAAAAACGAAGTGGGGAAAGGACACCCTATTCAAAAATGGTGCTGGGGTAATTGTCAAGAAGAATGAAACTGGATCCTCATCTCTCACCTTATAGAAAAACCAACTCAAGATGGATTAAAGACTTAAATATAAGACCTGAAACCATACAAATTGTAGAAGATAGCATTAGAAAAACTCTTCCAGATGTCGGCTTAGGTAAAGAGTTCATGACCAAGAACCTAAAAGTGAATGCAATGAAAACAGAAACAGCTGTGACTTAATTAAACTAAAAAGCTTCTGCACAGCAAAAGAAATAATCAGCAGAATAAACAAACAAAATGGGAGAAAAGATTTGCCAATTATGCAGCCAACAAAGGACTAATATCCAGAATCTACAAGGAACTCAAACAAATCAGCAAGAAAAAAACAATCCCATCAAAAAGTGGGCTAAGGAAATGAACAGACAGTTCTCAAAAGAAGATATACAAATGGTCAACAAACACACGGAAATGCAAATGAAAACCATAATCAGATACCACCTCACTCCAGCAAGAATGGCCATAATTTAAAAAATCAAAGAATAATAGATGTTGGTGGCCGGGCGCGGTGGCTCATGCCTGTAATCCCTGCACTTTGGGAGGCCGAGGTGGGTGATCACCTGAGGTCAGGAGGTTGAGACCACCCTGGCCAACATGATCAAACCCCATCTCTACTAAAATGCAAAAAATTAGCTGGGCCTGGTGGCAGGTGTCTGTAATCCCAGTTACTCAGGAGGCTGAGGCAAGAGAATTGCTTGAACCTGGGAGGTGGAGGCTGCAGTGAACTGAGATGGCACCACTGCACTCCAGCCTGGGTGACAAGAAGCAAAACTCCATCTCAAAAAAAAAAGATGTTGGCACAGATGTGGTGAACAGGGAAGACTTCTACACTGCTGGTGGGAATGTCAACTAGTACAACCACTGTGGAAAACAGTGTGGAGATTCCTTAAAGAACTAAAAGTAGATCCACCATTTGATCCAGCAGTTCCACTGCAGGGTATCTACCAAGAGGAAAAGAAGCCACTATATGAAAAAGACACTTGCATACGCTTGTTTATAGCAGCACAATCCACAGCTGCAAAAACATGGAACCGGCCTGAATGCCCATTGACCAATGAGTGGACAAAGAAAATGCGGAATATACACCGTGAATACTACTCAGCCATAAAAAGGAATGAAATAATGGTATCCACAGCAACCTGGCTAGAGTTGGAGACCATTATTCTAAGTGAAGTAACTCAGGAATGGAAAACCAAACATTTTATGTTCTCACTTAAAATAAAAGCACAAATAAACGTTTAAAAACAAATCAGATGCACAACTATTATATAGCCATAATAATTAAAGAAAACCCAAACAACAAATCAGACTCCTTCTATGTAGAGTTTGTACCCTGCTTTAAAAAATATATATATATGTCTGTCACATTTCCTTTGGTCCTTAGTTTTTAGGAGCTTTGCTTTTAAATGGGTATACAACACTTCAAAAGCATGGGTAAGCTGTGATCTAACCATTTCCCTTATTTTGTGCATTCAGATGCCATAAAGCACTGTGGTGAGAGTTTGGATGGGCCTGCAACTTCAAATGCACATTCTACATTAAGTCCAGACACAAAACAGTAGTAAGAATTATGTCAGTACACAGTAGGCATTTAAACATCCCAAGAAAAAGAAAAACATTCCCTGAAGGAAGCCATGAGTTGAGAAAGGACAGCCACAGAAACAAGCGTACGTCCCTCGAGTAACCCGTAGAAATGAGGCCATGCATGCTAAGGTGTTAGCGTGTCAAACAAAAAACAACAAAGCAAACAAAAAGCACTAGCAGTGACAATGGTAAAATCCTCGAGGAGAGTCCTGAGATCCTGAGAGGTACAGAAATGTGTGTATGCCACATGGGACAGATCTCAGGTCTCCCCAGAGCCCCGCTAGGCACCCCCCAGGCACAATGAACCCACCTCTGCTGCCTTTCTTGGGAGGGGCTGAGGCAGAGCCATCAACTCTAGGTTGCATTCAGTAAGATGCCAACAAATGTATTAAAAACTGTTTGTCTGAGGAGGATTTTAGCAGAAAGAAAGCTACACTGACCAAGAACATCCTCCTACCTGTCTTCTTTTTACTGACAGCTCTTCTCAAGGATACCTCATTTTCAGGTATCTCCTCAGCAGAGAGGTCACCATCACCCACTTTTGTCTTCTGTTCCTCCATCGTCTCTTCAGGCACAAAAGGAGACTGATCTACGATAGCTTCGAAGACACCCCGAGCTATGGTCTGTACCAGGGTGTGGCTGAGGGTAGAAGCACAGCGGAGAGCATGTGATGAGAACAAACGGCCTGGCCTTCTGGCTTCAGGGGCACAGAGGGAAGCCCTGCACACGTTGCTGTGGTCTGGAGTGGCCCCCACGGGCCAGCAAGCATCTGAGAGGAACTGCCTAAGTGCCACCCGACAGGCACGGGACGCCCAGCGGTCAGATCTTTGGGTGTGGGAGGGCATTCCTGGAATGAGTGAGGCAAATACTGAAGCTAGAAGAGCCAAATCACTGCTCAAAGCTTCGGCTGTCTTCTCCAGCCGCTCTCTGCTGTGAAGCAGTGTCCTGGGTACCCTGTGCCAGGCTGCACGACGGCAAGTAACTCCCATGAGCAAATGCCACGGAGCAGGAGGAACGAACAGGGGAATCACTTACTCCTTCGTCTTCGCAGCAATTTTGCAGAATGGATCGATAAACTTGAGATTCTGATCTGCTAAAAGCTGTAATTTAGAAAAAGGGAAAAATTGAGAAAGAGCCTTTCCCTTCTTGACATGTCCTTGAAAAAGGGACCATTCCCATCTTTTACAAAGGTGGAGTTAGACCAAGCAATGCCTGTCTCACACAGCCCCAAAGCGCCCCTGTGGAATGCCACAGAAGCCTGGAGCCAGGCTGAAGACTGAGGCCGCCCTCCAGCTACTTGGTATCTTAGTGCAGTGGCTGGAGAAAGCCACCCAGCCTGACCTGCACTATCCTATATGCCCAACATATACAACACGGGTGTCCAATCTTGTGACTTCCCCAAGCCATAATGGAAGAATAACTGTCTTGGGGCACACCTAAAATACACAAACACTAACAACAGCTGATGAGCTAAAAATAAAATAAAATAAAATAAAATAAAATAAAATAAAATAAAATAAAATAAAATGCAAAATACCCCTCATATTTTAAGAAAGTTTATAAATTTGTGTTGGGCCACATTCAAAGCTGCCCTGGGCCCCATGCAGCTCTCAGGCTGCGGGCTGGACAAACCTGATACAGGACATACATATACTTCCTCTACAAGAGGGGTAACAGGGACAGTGCCTCCAAGTGTGAGACAAAAGAATTATTGTTTTGAATATAACATATTTTCTTTTAATCAAAAAAATACATGTTCCCTGCAAAACACCTGTGAAAGAAAAGTAAAATCTGTGCACATTCCCACATTCAGAGAATCATTTGCATACTAAAAAATGTATGTTTCCTTTCCAGCCTTTTGTCTATTTATGAGTATATACCTTAAAAATGTCTACCATTTGCATAGCTTTTCCTAGCGCTTTATAAAGCTCCCTAGATCCTGAGTACTCCCCCGTGTTAGTGAGTTCTTTAGTGGAGTCTGTAGGTTGCTTTCAATTCCGTTTTACAGGTAAGACTGTCATGTACATCCTCAGTGCACAAATCCCATCCCACCAGCTGCTTAGGACACATTCCCAGACAGGACTGAAGCAATTCACGCTGCTACAGTCGCTGGTCATGCGAAGGGCCACCCCACAGCACTTCACTGGCGACTACTGCGAACACTGGCGGCCCCCTCACCCCGTGGGCAGCCTGTCGGCAGCTGCTTACCTCCTTCCCCCCGACTTTGGAGAGTTCATCCAGGTAAATATCAATGAAGTGGAATCTCACTCCATTAGGAGACTGACTCTCAGGACACAGGACCTCCTTCATCAGGACATCCAAGAAAACCTTGATTCGGCTAAAGAACCAAACGCATGCTTCTGTGAATGACAGTATGCCAACACGTCCCACTTCCCAAAGAGAAACAAAAATACTCCGTCTAGAACCTACACAGCCTAACAATCAATGCAAGGCTGAAATCATTTTACAAGGAAAAAAGCAATCACTTAAATCAGGATAAAATGTTAACTGTCATATATACTTAACTGTTTTATGCCTTCTACTGGATTTCAATTCTCTATAGGTAACGATGTATCGAGCTTCTCATTGGTACTCTACAAGTTCAGAAAACTTGACACTCTACTACCTTTTAAGTTTTAAGGCTACCACATGCTAACTCAAATGGTTTACTGACCTTTCTTCCCAGCCATTTCGCTTCAAGACTTCAAAGGACTGCCTCAGGACCAGACGAATCAGCTAAAGAAAGGCAATTTTTGTTTAAAAAAAAAAAAAAAAAAAAAAAAAAGGAAAGGTAAGAAATATTAATCAGCTCAGCAGAATGAAGGGACCAATGAAATTGTTATGGCCTGGATCCCAAAAGTAAAAAAATATTCACAACAGTCATATTTACCTTCTAGATCAAAAAACATATTCATAGCCAAGAACAGTGGCTCATGCCTGTAACCCCAGCATTTTGGGAGGCTGAGGTGGGCAGATCATTTGAGGCCAGGAGTTCAAGACCACCCTGGCCAACATGGCAAACCCTTATCTCTACTAAAAATACAAAAATTAGCCAAGCATGGTGGTGCGCGTCTGTAATCCCAGCTACTCAGGAGGCCGAGGCATGAGAATCACTTGAACCCAGGAGGCGGAGGTCGCAGTGAGCTGAGATCGCACCACTGCACTCCAACCTGGGGAGCAGAGCAAGAGAGACTCTGTCTCAAAAAATACCCAACGTATTCACTAATGCTCCCCAAACTCATCCTTAAGAACTGCAAAAGCCAAAACAGAGAAGCTTTCCAGGACACATTCAAATTCTTCCTTCACACTAAGCCTGTGGCTTGTTTTGCTTCACAAATAAACCTTCCCATTGTTTTTAAGATAAAGGACATTCTTTTCTTCCCAGGAGTTTTTGAAGTAACTGCGGCAGATCTTACCATATAGTATTTGTCCAGGCGTAGCCTGTCTATTCCTTTCCATTCTCGATTCATGGTTTGCCAAAAGGTCTGAATGAACAGGTGTTCTGCAGTGAACAAAAGGCTCTAAATACTTGGCTTCCACATCAACATACTACCATATAGCAAGAAAATAATGAAGAGGAACAAACTAGCATTATTTATTATTCACTTTTCTCAGTAATTCTTGGGCAGCTAGAAAATCTGTTGATAATTAAATATACTCAATCATTTCTTTTACACTTATTTATTAAACATCACTTAGACTGTGCAGATCTTTTACTTTTTTTTTTTTTTTTTTTTGGAGACGGGGTCCCACTCTGTGGCCCAGGCTGGAGTGCAATGGCATGATCTCAGCTCATTGCAACCTCTGCCTCCTGGGTTCAAGTGATTCTCCTGCCTCAGCCTCCCGAGTAGCTGGGATTACAGGTGTGCACCACCACACCCGGCTAATATTTGTATTTTTAGTAAAGACGGGGTTTAACCATGTTGGCCAGGCTGGTCTCAAACTCCTGACCTCAGGTGTTCCACCCACCTCGGCCTCCCAAAGTGCTGGGATTACAGGCGTGAGCCACCGTGCCTGGCCTTGGTCTTTTGAATTTAAATAAAAACAGAATAACCGGAAGGGCTGGCAACATTGCAATGTCAGATTTGAGCGCTCTCTGGAGCATTTTTCCTTTATCCACTGCAAAGCCACGTTTCTTTTAAAATCAAGACTCCTTGTTCCACTTCTAGTAACTCTTCCTACTGCACTGGTACCTCACAATCAGTTCAAAACCATTAATTCTGACACTTATATAATCCATATAGAAACTCATATTTTTGTCTGATTATAGGTGGCATCTGGGTGAGCTACGGTACAAAACACTGAATTTTTCTCTTCTGACCCACAGAACTAGCACTTTTTTATTCAAAAACAATTTTTGTTGATTTTTTGGCTTTATTTCTTTTTGCACAATTCTTTTTTCATCTTTGTAAATCTATTATACATCATATGTAGAATTTTGTTCAATATGAGTCAGCTAATATTCAGAGCACCACTGGGGGTGGTTGAAATCATTAGGATGCTTTTCTGAAGAGCATTAAGCAGAACAAACGAAGTCGGCTACCTTTTTCTTCCTTTATAAGCAATCAACGCCTGACACAGAAGCACCCTAACTAATTTTTTTTCTCTATGGTTGAGAGGAGTTACTTCATAGTCTGTGACCGGTGGTGTCTTCTATGTATTTATTACCAGTGACGGCTCTGCTCTTGGGGAAGACGAACCTGGCATCCAGAGGTCACCGTGGACCCTGCATCTGGCTCTCCAGGCTCCAAGTGTTAAAGTAACTCAGAATTTGAAGATTCTGGAGGATTGTTATTTCTAAAAGCATTTTCTGAAATCTTTGAGATGTCAAATTGATTCTCCCCAAGACACTGTGCCCTCTCACCAAGTCAATGACTAAGTTTATCACAGCTTTTAAAAACAGGAATGGCTTGTCCCCTGACATCTACACAATACCGGCACAAGGTTCCCATTAAACTAGCAAGTCGGAAAACTTGGAAGGAAGGAGAAGAAACAACAGGACTTACGAGCCGCTGAGTTGTTAACAGCATGGACTAGCTGTGCAATGGTGTTGGCGAGCTCTTCCTGCAGAGGCGGGGTTGGGGAGAAACATGGGGGTTATCGTGGGGCAACATGAGATGCCTGTGCCGCGGCCTGCTTCCTTCTCCCACTTCCGCTCGTGGGAAGGTCTGCCCCTCTTGTCACTTCCACTAAGAAGTATGTATCCGAATATCTGAATTTTATCAAATGTGTAAGTTCCAATATTGACGGACTATTATGCTAACTTGGTATGTCTGCAAGAACTGTGTTAAGCTACATGTTTAAAAAAGCATCTCTAATTATCAGTTCAGATGAACTAGAGATGAAATAAATTAGTTATCAGTTCCTGGCTTTATAACTATATCTGGCCACGTGCAGTGGCTCATGCCTGTAATCCTAGCACTTTGGGAGGCCGAGGCAGGTGGATCACCTGAGGTCAGGAGTTCAAGACCAGCCTGACCAAGATGGCACTCCCCACATCTCTACTAAAAATTCAAAAATTAGTCAGGCGTGGTGGCGTGTGCCTGTAGTTCCAGCTACTCGAGAGGCTGAGACAGAATTGCTTGAACTCGGAGGTAGAGGGTGCAGTGAGCCAAGATCATGCCATTGCACTCCAGCCTGGGTGACAGAGCTAGACTCCATCTCAAAACAACAACAACAACCAAAAAACCCCCATCTAAGCTGGGCTGGGCAGCTCATGCCTGTAATGGGAGCCCGAGCACTTTGGGAGGCCGAGGCGGGTGGATCGCTCGAGTCCAGGAGTTCAACGCCAGCCTAGGCAACACAATGAGACCCAGTCCCTACAAAAAATACAAAAATTAGCCAGGCATGGAGGCGTGCACCTGTAGTCCCAGCTACTCGGGTGGCTGAGGCAGGAGGATCAGCTGAGCAATAGGGAGGTTGGGGCTGTAGTGAGCCATGATGGCACCCCTGCACTTCAGCCTGGGCAACAGAGTGAAACTCTGTAAAAAAAAAAAAAAAAAAAGAAAACTTCATCATAATCCCAGAAATGATGTGAAACACAAAGACAGCAGGGCAGACCTCACAGAGGTGAGATGCTGGGGATGCTCACTGCACGCCATGGGAAAGTCCTCCCTACAGCTTGCTCAGAGACAAGGTGGAATGTGAAGGTAAACTCAGCCTTCTGGGCTCTGTCCTGGGTGAAGGGGTCCCTGAGAGAGCATGCCCTGCTGAGGTGCAGCAGGCTCACTCTGGGGAGACGCCCTCTCTTCTGAGGTTCCGTGAGAAAAGCACACTCCTCATCAGTCTGACTCACACCACACCCGGTCTGTTTTCCTTCGTGGGAAAATGAGATTTCTGTCCATTGGTTTTCTTCCTCCACTAAAGCTGTTGGTTGTTACTTTTGAATGTAATATAAAAATATTTTGCCCTGCTCCTACTCAAAATATGTTCAGTAAAATAAAAATAAATTAAAACAAGTTATTACGCAGCACGGGAGAAGTGGCAAGGCTGCACATTAAAACCCAGAAAAGTAAAATCTTGCCCTGAGGACCTGTCATCTGCATCAGAGACTTGCAAGCACTTCTCAAGGCTGGTTCCTCTACCTCAGGGGTGTCCAGTCTTTTGCCTTCCCTGGGTCACACTGGAAGAACTGTCTTGGGCCACACACAGTATACACTAACACTAGTAATAGTGAAGAGCTTAAAAAAAAAAATCTCATAAGGTCCTAAGAAAGTTTCCGAATTTGTGTTGGGCTGCATTCAAAGCCATCCTGGGCCACATGTGGCTGTGGGTTGGACAAGCCTGCTCTCCCTCTACAGAGGCAGATCGGATCTACTTTCATGGGTCAGAACAAAGCTTTTAAAAAGTGAAAGTCACATCTTTAGTGTTGGCTTTGGTGGTGGGCTTAGCGGGCTCAGCAGGCCCCGCACAGAGAGACCGAGCCTGCTGCGCGTTTGGGTGACTGCGCAGGCGCACTCGGCTTTAACAGGGAGGCTTTCGCTGAGCGCTACTGCTGCTCTCCATGGAACCCGAAGCCCAGTGACGCGGCTGCCCTCTCCTGGGTTTCACAGGGTCTTGACTAGTTAGTGCTCCTGTCATGCCATCCTTGACCACAAAAAATAAACTTACCAGAAGAGAGAAACTTTAAGTAATGTAAAACCTAGCATGGAACCTATGAAATTTTACAGAGAAATAGTAAATTGACAACGAATGCACATCTTTCCTTTTATTTGAAAAGACAATTCACCTAACTGTGTTGACCCTGCATCCCTTTCTGTATGGACAAGAGGTACGAAAATGACTCCTTGAAGCATGACTGTCAGTGTGCGTCAGTGTATCGGGGGACTGGCACAGCATGAGTGATCAAGTCTCTTATCCATCCACAGCAAGAACCCGGGAGCATGACAAAGGGAACGCATGTTACCTGTAGAAGGGGTTCATCCTGCACCCACATGCAGTAGAAGAGCCCCTTCCAGATTTTCAGAAGTTCTTCCTGACTGAAACCTCCTGGAAGGCAAAACAATACAAACATCTTAGAGTCTATGCATCTCTTTTCTTCAAGTTTAGAAAGTGGTGAAGTATCACATACATTTTAATTCTCTTTCGTTTGCACGTCTTTTTAAAAAATTGAAGCAAACATTTCCTTATTGTTATAAAAGAAACACAAATAAATTACTACTGTACCTGCAGCTTTATCAGCTACAGGGTAGGGTGGCAGTGGTGGCCCGGCCTCAGCGTGAGGAAGCAAATGTCATCACAACACAAAATTCATGAACAAAGTGGCCACTTATGAAATCGGCTCCTCATCAACGCCCTCCCCGCCCACCACGTGCAGCCATCCTGCACACTGACATTTTCGCTGGTCTTGTGAAGTAAAACTGCAAATCTTACAAGAGATGCGGGGGACCTGCTCAAGTCATATGAAGCCCCAGCAACGGGCAGCCCCACTTCCGAGGAACAGAAAACCAGCCAGGCTGAGGACACAGGAGCTCCAAACAGTACATCTGAAAGTCAAAGGCCTAGGAAAGGGCCTGGGGACACTGACGCTGCTTTGGAATATTTTTGCAAAAATTACCTTTTAAGGATCCTAGTATAAGGTCAAAAGTGGCTGCCTCCCAGTCACCCTCCCTGTAACGGTGATCATTTACTGTGGCATCACCAGGTTGGCTTTGTCAATCACCCTCCCTGCAACGGTGATCATTTACTGTGGCATCACCAGGTTGGCTTTGTCAATCACCCTCCCTGCAACGGTGATCATTTACTGTGGCATCACCAGGTTGGCTTTGTCAATCACCCTCCCTGTAACGGTGATCATTTACTGCAGCATCACCAGGGTTGGCTTTGTTCTGACTCTAGCTACTCAGGGCTCTACCTCTGCCTTCATGATCTATGATTGAGTGACCAGTCTCGTTCAGCCTTAAATCTCCTGAGTAGACCCCAGGTGTCATAAAGTATTTGCTGACTGACATAAAGAATCACAAAATGATAAGGTAGGTGTACAGTCTTGGAGTTTCCGAGCCTATGGATACATGAAATTAGAACACAAACAGAATCCTCAAGTCTTGATGTGTGTTACAAATGGTCTTTATTAGGATTTTACTAGGAGATCCTAGGAGAAATCTTTTGGAGCAACAAAGTGCTATAAACTAGATGAATGCAAACAAATATTTAGAATCAATGTGATCTTAATACTCCAAAAGATGCTTAAAAAGTGACAAAAAGGGCCAGACGCGGTGGCTCATGCCTGTAATCTCAGCACTTTGGGAGGCTGAGGTGGGCGGATCACGGGGTCAGACGATCAAGACCATCCTCACTAACACAGTGAAACCCCGTCTCTACTAAAAATACAAAAAAAATTAGCCGGGTATGGTGGCGGGCGCCTATAGTCCCAGCTACTCCAGAGGCTGAGGCAGTAGAATGGTGTGAACCCAGGAGGTGGAGTTTGCACTTTGCAGTGAGCTGAGATTGCGCCACTGCACTCCAGCCTGGGCGACAGAGCGAGAGTCCGTCTCTTAAAAAAAAAAAAAAAAGTGACAAAAAGACCTTTTAATGGACCAAAGTTTGTTTAGTGTATTCAGAGTGCGTTAACCTTAATTTACAGGTATTGATTTCCACTTTGCTAAGGGTCTTTCTCCCATCAACAATTTTATAATGGTACATTTTGATTCTTTTTTTTTTTTTTGAGATAGAGTCTTGCTCTGTTGCCCAGGCTGGAGTGCAGTGGCACAATCTAGGCTCACTGCAACCTCTGCCTCCTGGGTTCAAGCGATTCTCCTGCCTCAGCCTCAAGAGTAGCTGGGATTATAGGCGCGTGCCACCACGCCTGGCTAATTTTTTGTATTTTTAGTGGAGACAAGGTTTCACCATGTTGGCCAGGCTGGTCCGGAACTCCTGACCTCAGGTGATCTGCTGGCCTCGGCCTCCCAAAGTGCTGGGAATACTGGCATGAGCCACCACACCCGGCCTGCATTTTGATTCTTTTATGATAGTTTTCCATGTAAAACCAGGATATCAGGAACTAACATAAAACTAGTTTATTAAAGTATATTCCCTTTCACAGTTGGAGAGAAGATGTACCAACTGGTTCTCTTGCCCTCTTGTTATGAACAAGTCATGCCTGGGGATCCTCACGTGGATAATGTAAGTATGGTATGAGTAATAAACCCCACTAGAGCTGAGCCAACTGCGGTCATGATTGCAGTAACTTTTTTTTTCTTGGCCACAGTGACCTGC
Organism: Homo sapiens; assembly: GCF_000001405.40. Classification (NCBI taxonomy): domain Eukaryota; kingdom Metazoa; phylum Chordata; class Mammalia; order Primates; family Hominidae; genus Homo; species Homo sapiens. The sequence continues at coordinate 43,667,657 of NC_000021.9, read as the reverse complement.
ACTTATATTTAATCATGTTCAAAGACCACATATATCCCCAGTGAATTGAAGGCTTTGGGCAAGGATCATAAATAGCTGCTAAAACATTAGATGAAAAGATATCACCCAGGCGTGGCGGCTCACTTGAGCTCAGGAGTTTGAGACCAGCCTGGGCAACACAGCAAAACCCAATCTCTACAACATTGTACTCCATGGAGCTTGGGCGACAGAGCAAGACCCTGTCTTAAACACACACACACACACACCAACAACAAAACCAAAAAATTGGCAGAGCATGGTGGCATGTGCCTGTAGTCCCAAGTACTCAGGTGGCTGAAGTGGGAGGATGACCTGAGCCCAGGAATTTGAGGCTGCAGTAAGCTATAATCGTGCCACTGCACTCCAACCTGGGCAACAGAGCAACTCTGTCTCTCAAACAAACAAACAAACAAACAAACAAACGATATTAAGAAACTTGAAAGTGGATGTGTCAGACCATCAACACCCAAACCCACCGACCGATCATTAACATGCACAGGCAATAATCACGCATCAGATGCCAGAGGTGATGCCAACAGGAAGAACGCTGCACCAACCTATGAAGTATTCTTACAAAAGTAAGTGTCAAAAAAAAAAACACCCAACTGTGTCAAATCTTAACTATTAATATTAGTTTATAGGAAATACAGGGGACAGAGGAACATGGTAAGTGAGACAACAGGATGCAGTCAACAAACCCCAAATATGTGAAACTCTACAAGGCATATGACCTATGTCCCCAACAAATAAACTGTACAGAAAAAGATGGGTAAGAACTGTTAGATTTTAAGAGCGTCTTGGCAGACATATTAACCAAATGCAGTGGGTGGTCCTCATTTGGATTGCTCATAAAAAACATTTGATGAGAAAAACTAAACAGATTGGATATTTCATGCTATTAAGGATTTTTTTTTTTTTTTTTTGGAGACAGTTTCACTCTGTCGCCCAGGCTGGAGTGCAGTGGTGCAATCTCGGCTCACTGCAACCTCTGCTGCCCAGGTTCAAGCGATTCTCCTGCCTCAGCCTCCCACGTAGCTGGGATTACACGCACCTGCCACCGCACCCAGCTAAGTTTTGTAGTTTTTAATAGAGACGGGGTTTCGCCATGTTGGCCAGGATGGTCTCAGTCTCTTGACCACATGATCCCCCCACCTTGGCCTCCCATAGTGCTGGGATTACAGGCGTGAGCCACCAGGCCTGGCAGCCATGCTAGTTTTAAGGGGGAAAGTGAAGCACAACTTTGTGCAGGAGCTCAACTGCTGGTGCCAGCACCTTGTTTTTCTCCACTGCAACCTCTGCTGCCCCAAAGATTGTCTCCATTCTCAGACAGGCTCCACCTGTGTTACAAGGTGGCTGGGAGCAGGTACAAACTGTGTGTTCTCTTCAAGTCCAGTAAGGAGAGAGCTAGAAACTCCTAAGGACTGAGCAAGAAGATTTTTACCTGCAGAGGGTCACTTGGCTTTTCTTGAACCTGTCCTGTGGCCAAGGGAATTCTGCTGAATTGGCAGAAGCCGCCGCCTCTCCACGTGGGGTAAGCCCCACCCAGACCACAGAGTCCCTCCACACCCTGCTTGAAGGTGGAGAGCCTTGGAGGGAAATCCCAATGTAGCTGCCCAGCAAGGACAAGGAGTGCCCTGAGCCTGACCCCATGCAGTAACCTGGGTCCTTCAAATCCTCTCTTTGGGTTTAAGCTGGTTAATGCTCCTGCACTTCCAGTTGCATCACTGTCTTAGTCTGTTGCGCTGCTATAAAGGAACACCTGACGCTAAGAGGTTTATTTGGCTCGAGGCTCTGCAGGCTGTACAAGCATGGCTCCAGCATCTGCTTCTGGTGAGGACCTCAGGGAGTGTCCCATCTTGGCTGGAGGGGAAGGGGAGTTGTCATGTCACATAGCAAGGGAGGAGGAAGGTGCCAGGCTCTTTAACAGTCAGATCCCACAGGAACTAGGAGTGCGCGCTCATTTAATCCTGAGAATGGCACCAAGGGTTCCGCTGGAACCCAGGAGGCGGAGGTTTCAGTGAGCCAAGATCGCACCACTGCACTCCAGCCTGAGCGACAGAGCAAGACTCCATCTCAAAAAATAAACAAATAAATAAAATAAAATAAAACTAGCATGGCGTAGATGTTCTGTCAAGTTGCAACTGAAAGAGTCCTAACTAATAAAAACACGTTTATTGCAAAGAACCTTACCACCATCAAAGTGATATAATCACAAGCTTGTCTTGCTCCCTGCCTCCTGAATCCCAGGCTCTGAACCAGAGGGACTGATGCAACCTGTCTGATGTGTATCTTTCCAGATCTTTCCTGGGCATTTATTTACAGAACAGTTACAGGTAGTGCAGAAAAGCACAGTTGTGTGTGTGACCTAAATGGCATAATATTCTGTATTCTGGTCTTTCTCACTTAAAAACAGCATATTTATTTCCAGATGGTTTTGTAAGTATACCATTGGGTCAAGCCAACAGTAAGTGATAATGTGGTCTGCCTAGCATCTGCTATGGATAGCCCACACCTGTAACAGGCAAAGGCACAGTATGATGTGCTACAGAGGCGTTCATAATGGAAAACAGTAGATTCTGACGGAGTGACAACAGACCCTGGACAGTGGGCAGCAAAGTGGGCTGGGTGAGTAATATGGGTTGGCTGTGTCCCCACCCAAATCTCACCTTGAATTGTAATAATCCCCACGTGGTGGGAGGGACCCAGTGGGAGGTAACTGAATCACGGGGACGGGTTTTTCTCATGCTGTTCTCGTGAGACTGAATAAGTCTCATGAGATCTAACGGTTTTATAAAGGGGAGCTCTCCTGCACATACCCGCTTGCCTGCCGCCATGGATGACCTGCCTTTGCTTTGTTTCTCCTTTGCTGTCTGCCATGATTGTGAGGCCTCCCCAGCCATGTGGAACTGTGAGTCCATTAAACCTATTTCCTTTATAAATTACCCAGTCTCCGGAGTGTCTTTATTAGCAGCGTGAGAACAGGCTAATACAATGAGAAAAGATACTCTGATTGTCTCTTTTCTAGGAGGCAACAGAGTAGCACGGAAACAAACCTTGGCTCAGGCCCCAGCTTCCTGCTGACAGGGGCCCAGTATCAGAAAACTGTCAACTGACTTTTGGGCCTCAGTTCTATCACCTATACTATATGAAAGATTTATTGTTAGGGTCAAGCCCAAGACGTGTGAAACACTGTAAGAACAAAGCACTATTGAGTTGGTGAGAGATTACAATAATAATTGTCTCACTTTCTATTCCTAGGAATACATTTTACATTTTGTTCCCTTTTTTCTTTTTCTTTTTTTTTTTTTTTTTGAGACGGAGTTTTACTCTTGTTGCCCAGGCTGCAGTGCAATGGTGCGATCTTGGTTCACTGCCTCCCGGGTTCAGGTGATTTTCCTCCCTCAGCCTCCCAACCTCAGGTGATCCACCCGCCTCGGCTTCCCAAAGTGTTGGGATTACAGGCGTGAGCCACTGCGCCCGGCCCATTTTGTTCCCTTTTAAAACATCTATTTTCCATTTATGTCTGTGTGTGTGTGTTCACCTAGGAATCTAATAAAAACAAGCCACCAATTTTTGAAGTATTCAAAGTAAAAGAGAGAAATGCTCATTACTGAATTACTTTCAAAGCTCTGAAAGGCAAAGTACATTATCTGAAGCAGTTTGGTTTCATCAGTCTTGTCTTCTCTATTTTCTTCTTGGGGCTAAATTTCTTAAACTTAATACTACTGTTTTTACAACAATACAATATAGGTTTATTTATTTCAAAATGAATGAGGTAGGCCAGGTACAGTGGCTCACTTCTGTAATCCCAGCACTTTGGGAGACCGAGGTGGGCAGATCACCTGAGGTCAGGAGTTCAAGACCAGCCTGGCCATCATAGAGTGAAACCCTGTCTCTACTAAAAAAATACAAAAATTAGCTGGGCATGGTGGTGCATGCCTGTAGTCCCAGCTACTTGGGAAGCTGAGGCAGGATAATCGCTTGAACCTGGGAGGTGGAGGTTGCAGTGAGCCGAGATTGTGCCACTGCACTCCAGCCTGGGCGACAGAGCAAGTCTCTGTCTCTCAAAAAAACAAAAACAAAGGCTGGGCACGGTGTGGCTCACACCTGTAATCCCAGCACTTTGAGAGGCCTAGGCGGGCGGATCATGAGGTCAGGAGCTCAAGACCAGCCTGGCCAACATGGTGAAACACCGTCTCTACTAAAAACACAAAAATTAGCCAGGCGTGGTGGTGGGCGCTCGCTACTCGGGAGGGTGAGGCGGGAGAATTGCTTGAAACTGGAAGGTGGAGGTTGCAGTTAGCAGAGATCGCGCTGTTGCACTTCAGCCTGGGTGAAAGAGTGAAACTCTGTCTCAAAAAACAAAAACACACAAAACAAACGAGGTAAACATCAAAGTGAGACATGTAGACATGTGAAATATTAGTAAGTTTTGAAATGAGCAAATCCAACAGCCACTCTCACCACGCAATGAGCCCAGAAGCCATTTTAGATGGGGGTAAAGTGTTAAACTTGAACACACCCCAGTGTCAGAACATCCACAACTTCTATTTATTATAACTCTTGGATAGAGAGAACCCTAACCCCATCATTATAAAAAAACTTATATCCTCCATCATCTACACTGAATCTAATATAGCATCAACCATAAGATGTACTGTTATTTTGTATGCTGCCAAAAAGAAAGCAATGATACAAATGAAATTGTCACTGGGTTGATTTTGGGATGCCTCCCCATTTTAGTCAATATTTTTAAAGTTGCAGAACTGATAAGATAGGCAGGGATGGTCTGTTTTGTTCACTGCTATATTCCCAGTGCCAAGAATAGCGTACATAATAGTACACAGTTGGCACTCCATAAATGTTTGCTAAATATATGAATGAATGAATGAATTGGGACAAATAAGCTCTTATGGATGAAAGCCATGGAGAGTGATCATTTTATGACTGTGAGCACCCAACTTGAACAGTTAAAGCAAGAGCGCAACACTGTTACTTAAAGCAATACAAAGATTTCCAATTTATTTTTAAAATGACAAAGCTATCTATTGATGTTGCTGCAGAACAGCTCATGTTTCAGGAAGAGTGATAGCTCACATTTCCTTTATGATGCCTAAGACAAGATGCAGAAAAGTTGGAGCCTGTCATCGGGAGTCGAATGTCAGGCCAAGTTATTTCCAAACTTGTGCTGTAATTGTGATGGGGCATAGCTGTGGTGGAGACCTTGTGTTTTCTTGTCCCATTATCACTGTCCACGACGTTCATGCTGCGGAGTTATTTTCTGAAGGTCCACTGTACTCCATGCAATGTGGTGGTGAACAAGATATACAAGACAAGTCACTCTGGGTGTGATAGGCACTAACCAGACAGGACTCTGGAGCACTGGTGTAAACTGGTCTTAGGCCCCCGCATAACCTCTGCATTTGCAAATCCTGGGCTGGCTCACCAAAGGGTTTGAGCAAAAGGCTCTGTCTAGGCTGTCTTAGCACCGTAAGTATTGCCTCTGGTCTTCCACTCTTGTACAGGCCAAGACCTTTTACGGTTGCATGTACTCCCACTTCTGGCTAAGAAAACAGATGGAAGCTTACGGTGTTTCGGGAGAAGGATGACACATTGATAATTAAGAAGCAATGTAGCTAAGTGCTACAACAGAGACACAATGGATGTTTTAGAACCCTGGAGGAGTAGGGCAAGATGCTAGGCGAGGCTTTTTGAAGGAAGTGATACTGAACTGAATGCTGGCAGTGAAGAAGGTGTGGGATTCTTTGCAGAGTGAACAGGAGAAGCAAAGGCAGAGAGGTGAGAAATTGTGTGCTGTACACCAAGAACCATCACCGATTCTGTTGACGGAACATGAAGCAGTTACACGGGGCTTAGGCAGGAAGAGCACCTGAGGACAGATCATGACTTGCAGACACTGAATTTCAAAAAATATTGGTGATGTGGGATCAGATTTGTTTTAGGAAGATGACCCTGGGCTGGTCTGTGGAGGACAGATTCCTGGGGACACAAGTGAAGTTAAGGAGACCAGTTGGGGAATATGCGGGCGCAGAAGTTTCGGTGAGATACAAAGAGCCCACGGTCAAGAATTTATGTCATCAGGAGGTGAACGAGGGAGGACGGGGGTCCTCCCACTGGATGTGGGCCAGGGGAAGAGGATGAGGAATTCAGAGGAGTCCAGGACAATCCCGTGTGTCCGGCTGGAATCTGAATGGCTGGTGGGAACCAGCAACCAAAAGAAAAGAAAACAGGTGGCAGTGGAGCAGCAGCAGAGAACAGGATTTCGGGGAAAGAAAACAGAACTTTTTTTGGCATCCTGAGTGTGAGGTGCCAGGTAGAGAAGCCAGGCTAGCAAGGCACATCCGAGCTGCAAGTAGGAATGGGCTGGGACAACAATTTAGGTTTAGAAACCACCAGCATATATGGGGTACCTGGAACTGTGAGACTAAACAAAATCTCTTGGGGAGATTCTTAACAGAATCAAAGTCAGGAATTTTGGTCTTTATTCCTTTTTCTATCAGACTTCCCAGGAAAGTGTATTTTCTTTTTTTGGGTAGTCTGGTGATTTCTCTTAAAAATAAAACAAACTGAGAATGTCAGTGATGGGGGAGATAATATCTGTTCTTTTAAGCAGATTCTAAATGTATTAGTACCATCAGTAACTAAATAAAACTTTATCTTAAAACCTCTATTACACATTGTAGTTCATATTGTATGGGCTCACTCAAGAGTTTATAGAAAGTATTTTTGGATCAGGTAAATGAAATCATCCAACAGCAGTGCCGTTAAAATCTAAACTACAAAGCCCTGTGTGATCTGGCCACTGCCTACATCTCCAACTTCATCTCATAACACTCGCCCCCCCAACCCCAACTTATTGGTCTTTCAAACCACTCCTAGGGCACGTGAAGCTCTTTCCTGCCTCTGCATAGGCGGTTTCCGCTCATTTCTCTTCAGATCTGAGCTGATTATCAGCCCAGAGAGGCCTTCCCAGAACAGCCTATCAAGAAGAGCAACCTCCTTCCCTTTTTGCTATTATCTGGTTTTCTTTTTCCTTTTTTCTTTTCTTTTCTTTTTGAGACGGAGTTTCGCTCTTGTTGCCCAGGCCGGAGTGCAATGCTGCGATCTCGGCTCACCGCAACCTCCGCCTCCCAGGTTCAAGCGATTCTCCTGCCTCAGCCTCCCGAGTACTGAGATTACAGGCATGCGCCACCATGCCCGGCTAATTCTGTATTTTTAGTAGAGCCGGGGTTTCACCATGTTGGTCCGGCTGGTCTCGAACTCCCGACCTCAGGTGATCCGCCCGCCTCGGCTTCCCAGAGTGCTGGGATTACATGCGTGAGACACCGCGCCCGGCCTGCTACCTGGTTTTCATTTCCTTTACTACACTTACACAAGGTCTACTTTATTTGCCTGTTTGCCTCCTTGCTTTATTACTAATAGATCCTCGAGGGTAGTGATTTTGTCTGTCTTCTCTCCTGCAGCCCCGTCACGTAAAGGTGCTGGTCAAAGGAAGGCGGCAATCACCGACCGGACACCAGGGCAAATCAGGGCAGCCCAGTGATTCGAGATGCCGGCTGGGGAATCGGACCCATGTGGGTCTTTTCTCAGCTTCCCCGCTTACTGTGACTTTCATAAGTAACGGAACCCCCTCAACCCGTTTCCTTAAGTGTAAAAAGGCACTAGACACAGCAAGAAGCGGTTCCGGCAGCGCGGAAACCGAAGCACACGCTGGGTGTCACGACAACACGTGGAAGCCGCATTCCGTGCCGGGGCCCTGGCCCTAGCCCCAGCCCCGGCCCCCGGCCCGCCATGTGGCGCGGCTGACCGCGGCCGTGCGCCCACCTGTCTCCCTCTGCGTCTTCACGCTGATGTACTGGCGCAGCTTCTTCACCGCTCGGTCCCGGATGCCCTTCTCGCTGGACGCCAGCCGCTGGGCAAATTGGATCTCGGCCGGCTGCATGGCGGGGGCCATCGCGCCCGCTGGAGCATCCCCGGCCGCGCAACCCGCGGTGCCGCTGCAGCCAGCCGAGCGCTGCGGAGCAGCCAGCCACCGTCCGCCCGGGCCGCGACTGCACAGAAGGCGGCGGCGGCGGCGCGCGGGCTGATGGCGTCACAAAGGCGCCGCGGCTCGCAGCGCGCTCTGGGAGTGAGCGCGGCAGTGGCCCTGGCAGCTGGCGGAGCGGCCCAGCCCGTGTGCACGTGGCGCCGGCGCTGCCTTTCGGTTGCCAAAATTCAGGCTGTAGACGGCGAGGTTAGCCAGGGTTAGGACTTGACCAGGAAGAGACGGAAGGCTGTTTGTAAACGGTCTAGGATTTTTTGTTTGTTTTTGAGACAGGGTCTCCCTCTGTCGCCCAGGCTGGAATGCAGTGGCGCGATCTTGGCGGTGATCCTGGCTCACTGCAGCCTCGACCTCCCAGACTCGATCGATCCTCCCATCTCGACCGCCCAAGTAGCTGAGACTACAGGCGCGCGCCATCACGCCCCACTATTTGTTATTTTTTTGTAGAGACGGTGTCTCGCTATGTTGCCCAAGCTGGTCTCAAACTCCTGGGCTCAAGCAATCCTCCCGCGGCGGCCTCCCTGATCGCTGGGATTACAGGCTTGAGCCGCCGCGCCTGGCCACGGTCCAGGATCTTTAATCCCATTTAGCACACCTCGTTGAGCCAGCAGCTTACCTGCGATCTCCGTGGCGTGGAGTTTTTAACTGTGGAGCCCCCGGGCCCCCGGGTGGAGTTGAGACTGGAAGGAAAGGCCGGCACTGGGGCCTGTTGAGCGGGTGGAGGGCTCGCCTTCCTCCAGTGCCTGCAGAGGCTTGGGCAGATCGGTGCGCCCCTACCCCGGAGCCCTGGTGCCAGTGCAAGGGCGCCCGCGCAGGCGTCCCGAGGCCTGGCGAGCACGCGCGCTTCCAGGGGAGTTGGGCAGGGCGGGCTGCTTGCTAATTCCAGAGAGGGAAGAAATCTTAGCTTTGGGTTCATCTAAAACCCGAGGCCATCCTATATTTTGCGGACTCAGCGGGCGTGCTGGGGCAAGTTAATGGACTAGGTCACTCCACACGTAGCGGGGGTTATCTCAGTTGCTCCGCTCAGTTGTCTAGGCGACCTCCCGAGGTGCCTGTTGACACAAAAATTCAACCCTTAACGTAAAAGCGCCTGAATCCGAGCGAGGGAAGGCGCGCGGAGGCGAGGTTTCCAGCAAAGACTGCCCATTTGAACGCAGTCCCCCTTAGTGTAGCATTCCTCGCCAAACAGGAAAGGACCCATCCGATTTATTTTACTTGACACTTACATCAGGGGCTGACTTTCCTTCTGCTTTGCAGATAACAAGTTTAAAACCCCGGCTAAGCCAGAAGAGCCAAAGAGGGACCTCGCCAAGGCCACTCCTCGCTCTCTAGGCCGAGAATACTGCGCAAATTCTGGGAGGTTTGGGCCTGGCGGCTCTCCGTTCCCGACCCCCGGCGTGGATTCGTTCCCGCGCTTTCTGGCGTGAGGGGTCAGAGGGCGCGCCGACGCTCAGGCGAACGGAGCGGAGGCGGCAGCGGCCATGGGCGAAGCGGGCGCCGCTGAGGAGGCCTGCCGGGTTAGTGAGGAAGCCCTGGCCGACGCCAGCGTGTTTGAACCGTCGCCATTCGCTCCCCTCAGGGCCTCGCCCCGTGCGCTCGGAGACGGCTCGCTGTCGCGTGCTTGGGGGAAGCCTGGAGACTTCCTCCCCTAACGGCGTGGGCTGGGCCGGAGCGGGGTGGAGACCTGGGGCGGGAGGCGACTTCGCCTCCAAACCCACGCGGGGACCCGGTCTGTGAGGCTGCGCGTGGTGGGGGCACTCAGTGGCGCCAAAGCGGGCATGGGAGCGTGGGATGGATGGTCACTCTCTTCTCTGCTCCGTGGAAGCCCAGTTCCCCTCCGAAGGCCCTGGCCCCCTGCTTCGGGACTTAGCGTCAGGCTTAGAGAGAATCTGCCCTCCATCGATTTTATAACTGTAACTGATTGCATGCGATGGAGAAGGCGCTTGGACTGGGGCCAGATCCGTGTTCACATCCTGCTTCCACCCGTTATTAATTGTGCTGCATTGAGAGTCATCTAGCTCCCGTGCCTTAATTTCCATCTAGACAATCTTGGAGGCTTGGGGTGAATAGTAGATGAGATCACGGGCGGAGGGCTTGGCAAACCCAGTAGGAAACCAGATGACTTCCTTTTCCTCCTGATTAGTTTGGTGCTGCAGTGATAAAAAGTTGCAGGCGTTTTCTTTGACTTTTAGGAATAGAGCTCTTGTATGACTTTTCTTTTTCGTGGTCTTGCTCTGTTGCCCAGACTGGAGTGCAGTGGCACGATCATAGCTCACTGCAGCCTCCAACTCCTGAGCTCAAGCCTTCTTCCCGTGTCAGCCTGCTGCGTACAGGCGCCGGCCACCACACCTGGCTAATTTTTGTATTTTTAGTGAGATGGAGTTTCACCATACTGGTCAGGCTGGTCTTGAACTCCTGACCTCAGGTGATCCACCCGCCTCGGCCTCCCAAAGTGCTGGGATTACAGGCGTGAGCCACTGCGCCGGGCCTCCTGGGCACGTTTTCATATTTTTGTAGTGACAGGGTCTCTCCATGTTGCTCAGACTGGTCTTGAACTCCTGGCCTCCCAAATTCCTGGGATTTCAAGTGTGAGCCACCATGCCTGGCCTGTTTGTCCTTATTATTTTTAACATCTGGCTCCCTTTTTGAAGGCTGAAGCTTCAGCTTTCAAAATGTTTGTATGTACATAAAATATATCTATAGCAGAATATACAGTAGGTAGAGACATGATTTGAAACAACGATGCACATAAGAGGTGTGAAAGAAAAGCAAGTTAACTTGAGCTGTTGTTTTTTTTCTCATGTGAAGAGAAATATAATAAGATCTGCTTGTTCTTTTAGCACATGGGAACTAAAGAGGAATTTGTTAAAGTCAGAAAGAAGGATCTGGAACGGCTGACAACTGAAGTGATGCAAATACGGGACTTCTTACCCAGAATACTAAATGGGGAGGTGCTGGAGAGCTTCCAGAAATTAAAGATTGTAGAAAAAAGTGAGTCTTCATTTTCAGCAGTCATTGGTGGTAACAGTAATTTGTTCTAGCAGATTTACCCTAGGTAAATAATTGTAAACGAATTTTAAGGTACTCTTACAGTCCTTGTGATGATATTTGGGAGAGTCTGATGACCTAAGAAAGGGAGGTTTCCTCAGTGTAGTGACTTGGACATATGTAAGTTGGTATAAGTTGGTTGCCAGTTTTCTGAGCATCTATTAACAGCTTCTCTTTCTCTCTCTCTTCATTGGCAGAAGAATTTTATACTTTTGATAACTGAAAAGCTCTATTCTGAAAATTAAGTACTTACTGTGTAAGTTAAGGATCTTGCCAAATGGAAACCTTGCATGGAGTTTACTTGTCAGTAGAGATAGCTGGAAGTGTGTTCACTTATCTTTAGGTGGATGGGTGAGCCAGTATCTAGAACTGATTGAAGTTTAGGCTTTCTGGTGTCCATTCAGACTTTTGAGATTTGAGCTGAGCTGTTATGTTGAATACCAGTTTAGGAGCCTATTGAAGTTCCTGGACATACTCTGAGATTGTCTCAGCACTTGCTTGATTGAGGCCAAATCATGATTAAATCAGCCTTTGACGGTAAAGGCCAATTTACTGCATGACATTTGGTTGTTATCCCTCCCTGTGTGCCCTCTAGAAAAGGTGCATCCAGGGGGCCCAGGTAGCTGTAGCACTTGTCCAGACAAGAAGATAGCTCACCCCGAGAATATGAGTTTCTGGCATGTGCAAACGTATCTGGTCAGTGGGCCAGCCACATCCAGTTAGAAGGGACAGTTCTCATCCACCGTACCTTGTCCTGTTTATATTCTCTCCGAAGTCCTTGGATCCAGTCTTCTCTGCCCTGTGGTGTGCTCTGGGAGGTAGATCCCTACAGATGGGGCTCTCCTGGTTCCCTTGCTGGCTGCCAGTGGGGCTCACCAATGGAAGGCATTGCTGGGTGGAGAGAGAGGTTGGGGTGTTTCTTCCTGCTCCCTCCCTGCTTTGCTGCTGTTTTGTGGCAGTAGCTGCATCCCTCCACAACAGAGACTCCTGTCTAGAGGCCTCTTCCGTAGTCCTAGCTCTTGCTGGACTGCCCCTGCTCCTGTGGCTGTAGGGCTGTTGCTAGTCCCTGGGTACCTCGCTGTCCCTTGGTGGTTCTGTTATCTCTGCTCTCCCCTCTGTAAGTGGTCCCTTCAGAAAAGTCTCAACATCTGGGTTGATTTCTCTTTCCCACTGGGACTCTGCCAGATACATGGCGTGTCATTGGTTGCCAGAATGCCAGGTCATTGACTTCTAATTTCTCTAGTTTTGATTTCATGCTCATCCAGCAACTTTCTGAGATTAGTCATTCCTTGTGCATTTATCTTCAGGAAAGGAAGGTAAATAGGCATACACCAGTAGCAGCGTATGGCAGCCTGCTGGTTGGTTATATTCTCACTGTAAATTAATAAACTGGCATTCTAAAAAATACATCAGGGTCTCATGAGTTAGTTAACATGAGTGTCTTTAGTGATCAGTCCCGCTGCCAAAATCAAACCGAGTGAGGGCCACAAACAAATCTGTGGTCACTTGATCACAGTCTGCCTTTGGGAGATCTTATCTCATAGTCCCGGCCTTTCCCAGGCTATAGAGTCACCTTTTTCCCCATAGTCTCTCTGGCAATTCCTGCTTATTCCCCTTTGCTGAAATTTATCCTTCTCTGCTTTGCAGCCTTCCAATAGGGCTTGAGACTCAGGCCTAGGCCCCGCTCATTGCCTCACCCCATGGCTTCTCCCTAGGCAGTCTCATGCACACTCACAGCTTCAGTTACCGTCTTGATGCCAGTGGCTGCTGGATTTACTCTCTAGCCCAGAACTCTCCAAGCTCACGGCCTTGTGCCTGACTCCGACTTGGCATTTCTTCCTGCTTGTTTCATGATTATTTCAAATTCTAAATGTCTGCCCTAGCCTAATCAGTCTAAGGTCGCCAGGAACAGACCCACAGTCTGACAGAGTGAGGTTTATGGCTCTTTGCAGTGAGGAAGACCATACCAGAACACCGAGAAACTGTGGGGCATGTCAACAAAAAAGAGGATAGAGTTGTTGTAGGACTTGGAGACAGAGTGGTATTAGGTGAAGCATAAATGAAGCAAAATAGAACTGTGTCTAAAGGGACCAATATTAAGTCTGACTGCGAAGCGGACCCAGGTCCCGTTTCCTTGAAAACTACAACGTTCAAATAGACGTGGAACATTGTTCTAGAAATCCCTTACTTGAAGCTCTGCAGTAGCTGGAAATAGGGTTCTTTTCTGTGTCACAGTGACTTAGATCCTGCAGGCAAGAGTGGGATCTTCTTACTTGTATAATTTCAAAGAACAAAATTTGTGCGAGTCTGGGATTTTACAGAATAAGGCTTCTCAGTGAATAAGAAGTTAGCAGTCACTCAAAGAAGAGGTCATTATGACACTTTACAGTTGCATTGTCTTTGAGAGATATTTTCTGTTAACTTGGCACCTGACTTTATCTGTGTTTGTTATTCCAGCCTGACAGAAGTCAGGACAGACTTTTGCTTTCTCGGTGCAAGCTGATTTTTACTTCCTGTTGTCATATCTGCCTCATGCTATCTGTTCCCTGCCCCTGTCTTACACTGGCCTGCCTCAGTCTCCCCAGAGCACCAACACCCAGACTAGAGACCCAGGAGTCTTCCTTGTTACCTGTCTCTCTTCCTCACTACTCCGCATGAAACCTGTCCGCTAGTAAGTCTTGTGAGTGTTACTTCATGGATGCATCCTGAATCATCAGCCTGCGTCTGTCTCCACTGCTGTGTTCTGCCTCCTCCTGGCGGTCTCCTCACTGCCACTCTCCAGTCCCTCAGACACACTGTAGCCTGAGTAGTTTGTGGCAGTTCAATCTGATGATGCCATTCACCTGCGTAAGTCTTCAGACGCTTCTCTTTGTTTTTAGGATAAAGAGCAAAAACCTAAAAACCCCACCCAGACTCATTATCATCCAAAAACCTAAGCAAAACCATACTACGGCTTAAAAGGCTTTATATTATTGGGCACAGCCCCGGCTCAGAGTCACTGCCTAATCTGACTACCTCGACATGATCAATCTTCCTTTGAAATGTTGTCATGGTACCCTATGCTTCCTTCAGACACATGGTTTTATTTCCATTTTACTTTATAAGCTGTTGGGAGTGCAGGGCCCCTGATTTTATCTGTCATTATCTCGGCCCCTGATTTTGTCTGTCATTATCTCCCTGGCTGATTATTCGGTCTTGAGGGAGCACCCTACTGTCTCTGCATGCCCTTCTTTCTTTCTCTCTCTCTCTTCCTTCCTTCTCCCTTCCCTTCCCTCCCCTCCCCTCCCCTTCCCTTCCCCTTCCCTTCCCTTCCCCTTCCCTTCCCTTCCCCTTCCCTTCCTTTCCCTTTTCTCTCTCTCTCTCTCTCTGTGTCTCTCTTTCTCTCTTTCTTCCGAGTCTCACTCTGTTGCCCAGGCTTGAGTGCAGTGGCATGATCTCAGCTCACTGCAACCCTGCAACCTCTGCCCCCTGGGTTCAAGCGATTCTCTTGCCTCAGTCTCCCGAGTAGCTGGGATTACAGGTGTGTGCCACCACGCCAGCTAATTTTTGTATTTTTAGTTAGAGACCAGGTTTCACCACGTTGGCCAGACTAGTCTTGAACTCCTGACCTCAGGTGATCTGCCCGCCTCGGCCTCCCAAAGCACTGGATTACAGTTATGAGCCACTGCGCCTGGCCTGATGCCCTTCTTTCTAGTTTGCAGTCCTATCTCATGAAACTCACATGTGCTCCAGGAAACGTGGTGTTAACAGAAAGGAAGGATCAGATTGGGCTGGGCTGGTTCCAGGAGGTTTACTGTGGCCTCCTAAGGCATCTTTTATCTAATTTTGGCTTTTGAGTTTTTACCATTTAGCCAACATCAAGAAAAATAAAAATTCTTCTTTTTATAAGGCCTAGATCTGATGGCCCTCCCCAAGCCTTCCCACGAGCCTGTCTTCCTAGACTAATCATGCTAGACATGACTCTAAGAATAGAGCTCTACAGAGGAAATTCACGATTGTACTGTGGCAGCAAGAGCCGTTTGACATACTGATTCTTCTACTCTCCCACTAGCCCTATTGTCCAGTATCCACTCCTTTTGCTTCTAGAGGTTAATGTGCACTTCCAGTTGTTTTTTTTTTTTTTTTTTTTGATGGTGTCTGGCTCTGTCTCCCAGGCTGGAGTGCAGTGGTGTGATCTCAGCTCACTGCAACCTCTGCCTCCCGGGTTCAAGCTATTCTCCTGCCTCAGCCTCCAGAGTAGCTGGGAATACAGGCGCCTGCCATCACGCCTGGCTAATTTTTGTATTTTTAGTAGAGGCAGGATTTCACCATATTGGCCACGCTGGTCTCGATCTCCTGACCTCAAGTGATCTGCCCGCCTTGGCCTCCCAAAGTGCTGGAATTACAGGCATGAGTCACCATGTGCTTCCAATCTTAAGCAGTGACTAAAGGCAACCTGAAGGTAGGAATGAATACAGGCAGGGAAGGAGTAGACCTGATTTGAGAAGTTTCTTTTAGAGTGTGGATATAGTTTTGTTTGGATGGGCTTGGGCTATACAGTAACTTGTAAGCCAGCTAGAGGATTGAGGTGACACATCAAGTAGCGAATGGGGCTTGATTTTGACTCTAGCCCAGCATCTCCCTTTGGGAGGACTGGGCAAGGTAAATGGCAGTTTGCAATAATACTGACGAAGGTGTTGCCTGAGAGTCTTAGGGAGTTGATGGGTACTGGGGAGAGGCATGATTTGTTAGGAGGAGAAGGGGAGATATTCTAGGCCAGGGCGGTGGCATGTGAAAGTCACACATGGGATTGAGCAGGACCGATTGCAGGTTCATCAGCTAGTGTTTGATTGCTGTATGGAATAAGGATTGGGGGTATAGCAGAATTAGGGATGGAAAATGAACAGTTTATGGAAGACAATCATAGATTGTTTTTAATTTGAGATGAGAGTCAACTGGAAATTACCACATGGAAATAACCATCAAAATAGTGATCAAAATGACGTTTTTTAGGAGAATGGTTTTTATAGGTGAGTGTAGGATAGGTTTGAAGAATTGGGTGGAAGATGAATTAGAGCATTCATCAAGGAAGGTCGTGAGTTCCATTAGTGTGTGGGACTGTGGCTGTATGGATGGAATGGAAGGGACGTTTGATTAGTCTTGGTGGTTAAGTCAGGACAAAGTGTCATGATTTATGATCGGCAGTGAGAGTATGGAGATACAGGATCATCTATATACTGCCTGCTGATTAGTGTCTACAAAATGTGGACAGTAATGCTTACCTCATAGGCTATGGCAAAGCTTAAAATGAGATAAGCTCTGTAAGGTGTGTGCCACTGTGACTGGCTCATAGGAGTCCCTGGTAAATAACACCTCCTCAGATGGTGTGGGAAACTATGTGAACCCTTGGGGAAATGAAGAGAGACTCCAATTCACAGCCCAGCAGCTTAGCTTCTGGCTCGGCCATTGTCACTTCATGAGTTTGGGAAAAGTTTAGGGAGGTTCGAGTAAGACTCAGCTATGTTTGCAAGAGATGTAAACCGGGCCGGGTGCGGTGGCTCACGCCTGTAATCCCAACACTTTGGGAAGCCAAGGCTGGCAGATCACTTGAGGTCAGGAGTTCGAGACCAGACTGGCCGACAAGGTGAAACCCCATCTCTACTAAAAATACAAAAATTAGCCGGGTGTGATGGCATGTACCTGTAATCCTGGCTACTCAGGAGGCTGAGACAGGAGAATCGCTTGAACCCAGGAAGCAGAGGTTGCAGTGAGCTCAGATCATGCCACTGCACTCCAAACTGGGTGACAAAGTGAGACTCCATCTCAAAAAAAAAAAAAAAAAAAAAAAGCAAGCCTGAAAACACTATAGGAACCTCCATTTGACTTGTTAAGGTAGTGGCACTTAAGTACTTAGTAAGATATCACCCTCTGTTTTCTTTCATCCCTTCTTGTGCTTTATTCATCCAACAGTGGTGAATAAATCAGTGGGTATCAAAAATTTGTTTAAAACTAGGAAAATCCTATTTTTTATAAATAAAATTTTATGGGCCGGGCACGGTGGCTCATGCCTGTAATCCCAGCACTTTGGGAGGCCGAAGTGGGCGGATCACGAGGTCAGGAGATCGAGACCATCCTGGCTAACATGGCGAAACCCTGTATCTACTAAAAATACAAAAATTAGCCGGGCATGGTGGCGGGCGCCTGTAGTCCCAGCTACTCGGGAGGCTGAGGCAGGAGAATGGTGTGAACCCCAGAGGCGGAGCTTGCAGTGAGCCGAGATCGCACCACTGCACTCCAGCCCGGGCGACAGAGCGAGACTCTGTCTCAAAAAAAAAATTATATAATAGTATATGATGGTTCTAGATGTAAAATAGATGAAAACTGTATCTTCTGGGTATTTGTTTTTAAAATTAAGTTTTAGAACATTGACTTATAAAATCAGTAAGTACAATGAAGGTGGTGCGATGAAAACACAAATTTAGTATCAGGGATTTTGGAAGGTACTTGGATGATCACTTTCAGCATCCAGTTTGTTTTTAGTTTTGCTTGTGAAGTCGCAAGAAGACACAATCCCACAGATAAGGAGTTGCAGATGGTGGTTTTGAAGTAGTTCACCTAGCAACATGAAGACACTTTCTAATTAAACTGATATGAAGCTTGAAATAAGAGGAGTCAGATATTTTTGTTTTACAATTAAATCGCTAAGATCGAGCAATTCTTTGCTTTCCTTGATTGGCAATTGTTCATTTTGGAGAGAAATAATAAAAAAGCCATTCAGTCTGTTTAAATCTTCATTGTCTTACAGAAAACACTTTTCATGCATTATGCTGCATTTGACAATTTGGCACCTTAGTGGCAGTCAGATATTCACTGACAGTCTCAGAGGAGCTGGAATTATTTTTGTATGTTGACAGCACACCTAAAATGTTGGCCTCATTTCTGAAATAATTAAAATGTTAAATAATTTTAACCTTTTAAAATTTGTTTATATGTTTTTTGATGTTAATGTGAACCAGCCTTGTTTTGGTCATTGAAAATATCAGCAGTGAATGCGAACTAGTGTAGCCATGATACGCTGGTGAGATATTTGACCAACAGATTTTTCTTTCTTTTTTTTTGAGATGGAGTCTCCCTCTGTCACCCAGGCTGGAGTACAGTGGCATCATCTTGACTCACTGCAACCCCAGCCTTCCTGGTTCATGCCATTCTCCTGCCTCAGTCTCCCGAATAGCTGGGACTACAGGTGCGCGCCATCATGCCCGGCTCATTTTTGTATTTAAAAATTTTTTTTCAAAAAAATAAAAAAAACCCCAAACTGAAAAACAAACAAAAGGCCAGGCGCGGTCAGCACACCTGTAATCCCAACTACTTGGGAGGCTGAGGCAGGAGAGTCGCTTGAGCCCAGGAGGCAGAAGTGACAATGAGTTGAGATCATGCCACTGCACTCCAGCCTGGGCAACAGAGGGAAACTCCATCTCAAAAAAATTTTTTTAATTAAATAAATGAATGATGAGCAAATGAGGCAAACAAAATGTTAATAGTAGGTAAGTCTGGGTAAAGAGAGATAACAGGAATTTTTTTTGGCATTAGTTTTTGTGAATTTGAAATTACTTCCAAATAAAAATTGTAAATAACATTGTAAAATGGAGATATTAATTGAATGTTTATGGGACTGTAGTTGTTCCCCAGGTACTCTTAGATTCTTAGCAGTAGGATTTGAAAACCACTGCGCTATGTGATTTCTAAAGTGTAGGATATTTTGAGATTAATTTCCTGAGAGTTTGATACGGGGTACCCCCATTTCAGTTCTGGGAAGAATTATTTGTAGTCTGTAGAAATAAGAACTTGAGAAATATCCATGAAGAGTAGAACCAAAGAGTCAGCACCAAAAAAGGATTATTACTTTGACTCGGAGTTTATTGTGGCCCAGATAAAAGAACATGAAGAGTGTGTCACATCCATATCCTGGCAGGGAACAAAAGGAGTAAACGGAGTAAAGTGAAGAGATTAAAGTGTGATCAGGGTTGGGGGAACCAGTGCCTGGAGAAAGAAGCATCCGGGAACTAACGAGTGGAGCGCCATTGCCTCCCCTGGGCTGAAGGAGCAGAAGGGAGAGAGGTACCAGACGTGGCGAGAGGCGTTGCTCCAGACAAGATGCTTGACAGCACCTGGGACCTCACCCAGGAGGATGAAGCCCAGCAGGGAGGATGGAGTGGGGAGACATGTCCCATCCTTGGTCATCTTCTCTAGTCCTCCAGTTTCCTGCGGGGCTGCTATTGCATCCAACAGGAAGCCATAGGACGAGGGAGCCTTGTTACTGTGGGTCTTCACATCTGCCTCTTGGGGCACAGATCAGGGTGGAGATTGTCCAGAACATAGGAAAGTAGAGGGAAAAAAAACACTTGGGGAGCTTATGGACAGAGAAGGTGGCAAGGTGGTCAAGATGGAGGCGGAAGAGGTGTGTGGTGTTTTAATATCACCCGTGACCGCTCTGCTGTTCATGTCATATATGTGTGTCAGTGAATGAAAAGCAAAATTCCCTGACTCTGGTTTGGGAAATCAACAGAATTAATTTGAGTTCAGCAAGATTGATTTTAGTTTTTTTTTTTTTTTTTTTTTTTTGAGATGAAGTCTTGCTCTGTCGCCCAGGCTGGAGCGCACTGGCGTGATCTTGGCTCACTGCAACTTCCGCCTCCCAGGTTCAAGCAGTCCTCATACCTCAGCCTCCCGAGTAGCTGGGACTATGGGCGTGTACCACCACGCTGGGCTAATTTTTGTATTTTTAGTAGAGATGGGGTTTTGCCATGTTGTCTAGGCTGCTCTTGAACTCCTGACCTCACATACCAGGTGATAAAGAAATGGTAAGATAAATTGACGCCGTTTGTGCAGTTTTCTTTGATTAGTGTTTTAGAAACCCTTATTTTCCTTTCTAGCTTTCTGTACCCTCCCTGTGAATAAATTGAGCATCAAGAGACACAGCCATTCTCATGTTATTAGACCTGTATTAAGAAAGGATTATGGACTGCGTGCAGCAGCTCACGCCTGTAATCCCAGCACTTTGGGAGGCCAAGATGGGCAGATCACTTGAGGTCAGGAGTTCAAGACCAGCCTGGCCAACATAGTGAAACCCCATCTCTACTAAAAATACAAAAATTAGCCAGGCGTGGTTGGTGGCAGGCGCCTGTAGTCCCAGCTACTCGGGAGGCTGAGTTAAGAGGATCACTTGAACCTGGGAGGCGTTGGTTGCAGTGAGCTGAGATCGTGCCACTGCACTGACAGAGAGACACCGTCTCGGGGAAAAAAAAAATTGTTGTTTCAGAAGATACATAGATGTTTAAATGGTCTATGATTTAGGTTGTTTGTAATATTCACTGTTCATATTATTTCTGTCTCTGGGCTTAAAAAAATATAAAAGTAATATATTCTTATTGTATGAGAATGAGACATACAGATAAAGTAGCCATGTGTTTTTCTTGGTTCAAAGATTAGCAGAAGGAATGTATAAAGAAGTGAAATAAATTTATGTGACAAATATTTATGTATTGCCTACTATATTCCATATAGACATTTGGAGGGTGGGCATAGAAGAAAACCTATGCAAATCCCTGCCTTCAGGGTGCTTTTAGGTAGCATGCATGCAGTGGGGCCAAGTTGAAAATGCAAGGTCAGGGTTCTGTTCCGAGGCAGCAGCAATGCTCCCATCTGGCCACAAGGTGGCGGCCTCATACAGCAGAAGGGCACTTGTCACCTCCCCAGGAGCCTGGCGTAGATGGGTGTGGCCTCCCTGATGACTGACTGGAATTCTATGAGATTGCCTATCGTAGAGTGGGATGTTTTAACCCTGTCCCTTTGGTATGTTAACTTACACTAGGGTTGCATACAGCTGTCTGGAACAAGTGATTATGAAATTACCGTAATGCAAGAGAGCCGTTTTGGGTGGTCAAAGTTAATTCCCACAGGTTTTTACACATGATAAGGCTTGTAGAGATTTCCTGTCTCTTTTACCATGTTTGAGTAATATACCGTTTAATAGTAGAAGCCAAATTTAACAGTTAAATGCAAAGAAAAAATTTTAAATCACAAATTTCATCTCAGTTTTTCAGTTTGTTCATTTTTGTCTGTGACCATAGGTGGTATTTCATATGATTGTAGTGTGTATGTGTATAAATAATGTATTTCCATTTAACTTTGTTACAAATAATGCAAGTATGTAGTTTTTAAAGCATAGTGCTTCCTAGTTGATTTTTTGGCTGGGATTAGGATAAAATCAAGAATTCCAGTGAAAGTCATTGTGGCACAATATTTCTTAAAAGAGCAGAAAATGAAACTGTGATTTGAGGGAGAGGAAATAGTCCAAAGGCACTCTGCTCTATTTCTGAGAACCACTTTTTTTTTTTTTTTTTTAAGAGATGGGAGTCTTACCCTGGCTGGTCTCGAACTCCTGGCCTCAAGTGATCCTCCCACCTCAGCTTTCCAAAGTGCTGTAATTACACAGGCATAAGCCACCGAGCCGGGCCCCTAAGAAACGCATTTTATGAGAAGCTTTGCCAGCCAATTTTATGATGTTTAGCTGGTCTGAATATTTACTTTTAGGTTCTAATTTTTCTTCTAGGACGGGGTCTCTAGAAAATTTAGAGACTAGCTTGCTTTCTTCCTTCCTTTTTAACATTTCCTTTAGAGCTTTGGGGATACACGTGTGGTTCTAAGCAGTCCCCACAAGTGTCTTATTCTGGCTTCCTCTTGTCCTCTCAGACCCCTAGATTCGAAAGCCCTACCCGCTTCTCGTTTGTTTGCAGATAGTTGAGGAAGTGTCTGTGAGCTTTTTCTCCTCTAGGGTGGAGTAATGTTCCGTTTTCCAGGCGCCTGGCTCTTTGAGGCTTTCTCACTCATCGCAAGTGACAGTACAAGAATGAAACAGATAACCAGAGTTGCCTTGTGTTTTTCTCAGTTCAAGGATTAGGAGAGGGAATGTGTAAAGAAGTGAAATTCCTTCATGTGACAAATATTAGGTAGCTGCCTTCCATTACTCTCCATTTTTTTGCTTTTTCACATTCCTGTGGATGGGTTCCCTTGTTTGCTGTTGCTGGTCATGTGTTGCATGTTCATTTTATTTTATTGGTGATGAGAGACCAGGTTATCGCCCAGAAGTAGTTCTCAAAGTGTGGGTCCCAGACAGGCAGCATGAGTCTCATCTGGGAACTTGTTAGAAATGTAAATTCTCAGGCTCACCCCAGACGTTCCAAATTGGAAACTGTGGATGGAACCCAGCCGACTCTGTATTATCAAGTCCTCCAGGGATTCTGATGTACGCTAAAGTTTGAGAATCATTGTCCTAAAGCATCGCTACTTTAATCAAAGAAGTTAGACCATTAGCTCTTAGCACCCTCAAATCTTGGTATATGTTGGCATAAAAACTGATGATTTCCTAGCTTTTGAGATCAAACACTTAAAAATTTGTATTATATATTTGTTTTTTCGAGTGTCAGTATTTCTGCAACATAAAATTTTAAATTTAAAGTTGATAGTACTTTTGCTTGATTTATTGACGTGGATTTTTTTGGGATTTTTGTTGGCTGTTGTTGACTCATCAACTAAATGAGTGCGGTGGAGAGGAAGTATTACATAGTTTCCACTCTTTCACTATAGCATTTTCTCATTTTTATCACTGTTCTTTCCCTCCTCCAGTGCCTACTACTGCAGTTGTTCCCATTGAGTCAGTCTGCCAGTGGGTGACACTAGCTTTGTGAATCAGCCTGTGCTGGCGCCGTGCACTCCCTGAGCTGCCTTCTGCTTTTCATGGAGTAGCGACAAGTCTGTGCCATGAGACAGTCGGGCTTCTCAGCTCTGCCTTCCATCCTTTAAATAACATGTTTTCTTGAAGCCTTGAGTACTAGTCTGGCAGTAAAGTGAAACCTTAAAAACACAAAACAGAAAACAACCAAAGTCCTTTGTGCTGTGGGCTAAAAACTGAGATGAACTTAGAGAACAGGACTGTTAGAATATTGGTTATTCAAGGACAGGCTAGAAGTCAAGAAATGCAAATATTCTCACCTAAGAAATCAGTACACATTTTACTAAGTCAAGACTGGGCAAAATAGATGCTTAGGGAGAGATTAGTGACTTGAAATATCTTGAGTAATTTTATGTCTTTCTCCTAGACCTGGAAAGGAAAGAGCAAGAATTAGAGCAGCTGAAAATGGATTGTGAGCACTTTAAAGCCCGCCTGGAAACCGTGCAGGCCGACAACATAAGAGAGAAGAAGGTACCATGCTCAGGGACAGACTCTCACCAAGCCAGAAAGTGGGGCTGGCTTACAGCCTTTCACTTATGATAAGCAGTGGGACTGAATTTTTTACTCTTAATCCTCAATAAATTGTATTTGTAAATGTATGTATTCTGAGTGGGTTGGAATGTAGTTGAACAGATGGATTTTATAACCATTTAACACGTAGATCATTCACTTGGTATCTTTTAACTTTTATGTTTAAAAATCTGCCCTACAACATAAAGGTTCATAATTATCTTAGTTCATTTTGTGTTGCTATAACAAAATATCTGATACTGAGTAATTAATTTTTTTTTTCCTTTTTTTTTTTGAGACAGAGTCTTGCTCTGTCGCCCAGGCTGGAGTGCAGTGGTGCAATCTCGGCTCACTGCAAGCTCCGCCTCCTGGGTTCACGCCATTCCCCTGCCTCAGCCTCCCGAGTAGATGGGACAGGTGGCCGCCACCACGGCCGGCTAAGTTTTTGTATTTTTAGTAGAGACGGGGTTTCATTGTGTTAGCCAGGATGGTCTCGATCTCCAGACCTCTTGATCTGCCCGCCTCAGCCTCCCAAAGGGCTGGGATTACAGGCGTGAGCCATCACGCCCGGCGAGGCTGAGTAATTTATAAAGAAAAGAGGTTTATTTATGTCAAGATTTTGGTGGCTGGAAGGTTCAAGATTGGGCATCTTTTTCTGGTGAGGGCCTCAGGCTGCTTCAAATCATGACAGAAGGGGAGCTGGCTGTGTGACGAGATCACATGATGAGAGAAAGCAAGAGAGAGAAACTGAGGAAGCCAGACTCTTTACCAACCTGCTCTCAGGGAAACTAATCCATTCCTGTGAGAGCAAGAACTCACTCACCCTCCAGAGAGCACATTAATCGCTTCATGAGGAATCCACTCCCATGACCCATACACCTCTCACTAGGCCCCACCTCTCAAGAGTGCCACATTGGGGATCAAATTTCAACATGAGTTTGCAGGGGGACAAACCATAGCGATGAGAGTCTCGGAGGAAAAAATCATGTACATAATATCTTATAGTTGGACATAGATGTATTAAATCAGAAGTACATGTAATTAATTTGGGGATTATTACATTTTAGCCAGTTATATTTTATATAAATATTAGAGAAACTAATATTTCTTAAAAATTGCTTAGTTTAACTTTTTGTGTGGCATAACTTCCTTTTCCATAGAACTAGAACTATTCTGACACTTTTTATAAAATTTGGGGCCTGGATATATTTTTATTTTGGATGATAATAGTACTAACAGGCCAGGTACAGTGGCTCAAGCCTGTAATCCCAGCACTTTGGGAGGCCAGGGTGGGCGGTTCGCTTGCGGTCAGGAGTTCGAGACCAGCCTGGCTGAGGCAGGAGAATTGCTTGAACCTGGGAGGTGGAGGTTGCAGTGAGCCGAAATCGTGCCACTGCACTCCAGCCTGGGCAACAGAGCGAGACTCTGTCTCAAAAAAAAAAAAAAAAAAAAAAGAAAAGAAGCCATTCCAGTAAATGCATACTGAGAAGAAGGAAACAGCCATGGTAAAGTAGCATTGAAATCGCTAGGGTTTTGTTGCCCTGGAACTTTGACCTTAAAATGTGGGAATATTTTACCCAACTATTCCCTATTTATAGTTAAAAATCTTGTTGAATAGTCCAATTTAATATAGAGGGAAGCCCCTGCAAGGTGAATACAGAGGGAAGCCCCTGCAAGGTGAATGCAGAGGGAAGCTCCTGCAAGGTGAATACAGAGGGAAGCTCCTGTAAGGTGAATACAGAGGAAAGCTCCTGCAAGGTTGCTGTAACAAGGCCATTTCTCTTCTAGCAGCTGCCTTATCTGTAGCCTTTGCTGTAGTCTCTGTTGAGGCCTGTACGGATCATGAGGAGGGACTCTAGAAACTTATTTTATTTATTTATTTATTTTTTGAGACAGGGTGTTGCTCTGTTGCCAGGCTGGAGTGCAGTGGTGCAATAATAGTTGCAGTAGCTTCGACCTCCTGGGCTTAAGCGATCCTCCTCCTTGGCCTCCAGAGTGGCTGGGACTACAGAGATGTGCCATGACATCCAGCTAAATTTAATTAATTAATTAATTTTTATTTTTTACAAGAACAATTCTATTGTATAATTTTTAAAACAATTTTTAAAATTTTTTTATAGAGATGGGGTCTCACTATGTTGCCCAAGTTGGTCTTCAACTCCTGGGCTCAAGTGATCCTCCTGCTTTGGGCCTCCCAAAATGCTGGGATTACAGGCATGGGCCACTGCACCTGGCCCTGGAAACTTATTATAGAATTGAGGACCCAGGAAAGAATCCAGAGACTAGATCCTCAATTAGATTACTGCTAGTAAGTACTTTTTTTTTTTTTTTTTTGAGACAGAGTCTTGCTCTGTCGTCCAGGCTGGAGTGCAGTGGCACAATCTCAGCTCACTGCAACCTCCACCTCCTGGATACCTGGGATTACAGGCACGTGCCACCATGCCTGGCTAATTTTTGTATTTTTAGTAGAGATGAGGTTTCGCCATGTTGGCCAGGCTGGTCTTGAACTCCTGACCTCAGGTGATCCATCCACTTTGGTCTCCCAAAGTGCTGGGTTTACAGGCGTGAGCCACCGTGCCTGGCTGCTAGTAAGTACTTCTGTATGAGTGAAAAATTACTAGGAAAAGGCAGAAGTTATTGAGTTCAATATGTAAGAAAAGGTCAGAAACAAAGTATGGAACCCAAATCATAAAGTGTGATGTATGAGCAAGCAGCTTCTGAACCCCTAGAGAAAGGCTACTCAAACAAGGAAGACTTTGTTCCTGGCCATGGTGGAGATGTTTCCTCCACAGAGATTTTGTTGGGTCAGTGGAGGAGGTGCACTGGGTCTTGATACCTGCTTATGATGTGAGGAGGCTGGGCCAGGAAAGAGTCCTGGCAGTAGCAACGTTTGAACTTTAGAGGAAAAAGATCCCAGCTTCCTGGTAAAGGCACAACTGTTGGAGAATATTGGCCGGGCGCGGTGGCTCACGCCTGTAATCCCAGCACTTTGGGAGGCTGAGGTGGGCGGATCATAAGGTCAGGAGATCGAGACCATTCTGGCTAACACGGTGAAACCCCGTTTCTACTAAAAAAAGAAAATACAAAAAATTAGCCAGGCGTGGTGGTGGGCGCCTGTAGTCCCAGCTACTCGGGAGGCTGAGGCAGGAGAATGGCGTGAACCTGGGAGGCGGAGCTTGCAGTGAGCCAAGAAACTTTTAAAAGAAAAATTGTAGTTAAGCTAAAATACAGAATGAACTACAGAAAGATATTGAGGAAATCTTGGGAGTTTTGTGCTTGATAAACTGTTATGTATGAGTATTCCTTTAAACAGGAAAATATATCAGGGTTTGATTATTGTTTCTTTAAAACAGCATTATTGAGGTATATTTTGTACCACAAAAATTTTTTTGCATTGTAATTGTATAGTTTGATAGTTTTTAGTAAATTTATACAGCTTTTTTTTTTTTGGTTAAAATTTTTTGGTCCAATCCCACTGGAAACAAAAAAATTTTTTTGTGTTTACTTATAGATTCACTAGAAGTTTCAAAAAGTCCAGGGAAGTTATCTATACCCTTCACCCGGTTTTCCCTAGTGGTGATATCTTGCGTAACTATAGTAGAAGATAAAAACCAGGAAATTGGAATTGGTACAATTAACAACTTTCAGGTTTCACCAGTTTCACCTGGACTTCTTTGTATTTCATCAATTCTGTATGTACTCATTTGTGTGTGCATGTATGTACATAGTTCTGTGCAATTTTATGACATTTGTAGATTCATGTAACCACCACCACACTTGGAACTGTACCATTGCCGTAAGGCTCCTTGGTGCTACCCCTTTATAGCCACATCCACCCCATTCCCTCTGCCTTGCCCCTGGCAATCACTAATACATTTTCCATCTCTAATTTTGTTATCTCAAGAATGTCATAACGTAGAATAACCTTTTGCGACTGACTTTTCCTTGAGACAGAGTCTCACTGTGTCACCCAGGCAGTGACATGCAGTGGCAGGATCATGGCTCACAGCATCCTTGACCTCCTGGGCCAAAGCAGTCCTCCCATGTCAGCCTCCCAAGTAGCTAGGTCCACAGGCACATGTCACCATGCCCAGCTAATTTTTAATTTTTTTTGTAGAGACAGGTTCGCTATGTTACTCAGGCTGGTCTTGAACCCCTGGGCTCAGTTGATCCTTTGGCCTTGTCCTCCCAAAGTGCTGGGATTACAGGCATGAGCCATGGGTGCCTGGCAGAGACTGACTTTCACTCAGATACATCCAAGTTGCATGTATCGTTAGATATTTTTATTGCCTCATATTCCATGGTATGTATATGTTGCAATTTGTTTGCAATATGTTGTAATTCCTCCACTGAAAGAAGTTTGAATAGTTCTTACGGTTTTTTTTTCTATTACTGATAAAGACACTAGTAACATCCATGTATAGGTTTTTGTGTGAATGTGTGTCTTTATTTTTGTGTGATAAATGCCCGAGAGTACAATTACTGGGTTGTATGGTAAGTGCACATTTAGTTTTGGAAGAAATTGCCAAATTGTTTTCCAGAGTGTCTGTACCATTTTAGAGTCCCACCAAAATGTATGAGTGATTCACTTTCTCCATGTCCTAACCAGTATTTGGTGTTATTCTATTTTGAATTTTAGTCATTTTGATAGGTTTGTTGTGGTTTTAATTTGCATTTCCCTAACAGCTAATGATGTTGAGCATCATTTCATGCATTTATTTTCTGTCTGTGTATTCTCTTTTATGAAATGTTTTTTTCGTGTCTTTTACCCATGTTCTAATTGGATTTTTTCTTTTTTTACTTTTGCGTTTGAGCTCTTGATATATTCTAGATAGAAGTCCTTTGCTGAGTATATGTTTTGCAAGTCTTTTCTCCCAGTCTGTAGCTGCTCTTTTCATCTTCACAGGTTCTTTCAAAAAGCGAATGTTTTAAATTTTAATGAAGTCCAATTTACTGATTTCTCCTTTTATAGACTGTTTTCTTGTTGTTATGTCTAAGAATTTTTCACATAGCTCTAGGTCACCACAATTTTCTCCCATTCTTTTTTCTTAATGGTTTTATAGTTTTACATTTTACATTTAAGTCTATGATTCATTTTGAGTTAATTTTTGTAGAAGGTATGAGGATTAAGTTCAAGTTAATATTTTTTTCTTTGGCTTATCGTTGTCCAGTTGCTTCAGCACTGTTTCTCAAAAAGACTCTCTCTCCTTCATTGAATTGCTTTTGCACCATTGTCAAAATTCAGTCATACTGGCCTGGGTCTGTTGTGGGTTCTCTACTCAGGTACTTTGATCTGTTCCTGCACCAATAATACATTATTCTGATTACTGTAGCGACATAGTAAGCCTTAACACTGGATAAAATGATTCTTCCCATTTCATTCCTCTTTTTCAGAGTTGCCCTAACTATTCTAGCTTCTTTGCTTTTCCGCATAAATTTTAGAGTAAGCTTGTTTATGTCTACAAAAACCTTGCTGGAATTTTAATAGAAATTGTGGTACGTTTGTAGATCAGTTTGTAGAGAATTGATATCTTTACTATGTTGAATCTTTCAATTCATAAACATAGCATGTCTCTCCATTTCTTTAAGTTGTCTTTAATTTCTTTCATCAGCAGTTTACAATTATTTTCAGCATCTAGATTTGTGTTAGATTTTTACCTAATTATTTTCAGCATACACATTTGTATTAGATTTTTACCTAAGTATTTAATTTTATTTGGAGTAACCGTAAATGGTATTGTGTTTTTAATTTTGGTTTCCATTTTTTAATTAGCACATAGAAATGTGGTTGCTTTTTGTTTGTTTATCTTGTCCCCCAGGCTGGAGTGCAGTGGTGTGATCGCAGCTCACTACAACCTCTGCCTCTCAGGTTCAGGCAATTTTCCTGCCTCAGCCTCACGAGTAGCTGGGATTACAGATGTGCGCCACCATGCCTGGGTAATTTTTGTATTTTTAGTACAGACACAGTTTTACCATGTTGGCCAGGCTGGTCTCGAATTCCTGACCTCAAGTGATCCGCCTGCCTTGGTCTCTTGGTGCTGGGATTACAGGTGTGAGCCACCGCACCCGGCCCCTGTAGTCTTTCTGAACTCTTTTTGACTTCTAGGAGTTCTTTTATGGATTTCTTGAGATTTTCTACATGGACAATCATGTCATCTGAAAATAGGGGCTGTTCTAGTTCTTCATTCTGCTTTGTATACCTTTTATTTCTTCCTCTTTCCTTCTTGCGTAGCCAGGCCTTCCAGCACTACAGCACTGTGCTGAATAAGAGTGGTGAGAGTGGATATCTTTGCCTTGTTCCTGATCTCAGGGGAAAGTATTCAATCTTTCAGCGTTAATTATGATTTTAGCTGTAGGTTTTTGCAGATGCGTTTATAAAATTGAGAAGGTTCCCCTCTATTCCTAGTTTGCTGAGTTCCTTTTTTCTTTCTTTTTTTTTTTTCCAGAGACAGGGCCTCACTCTGTAGCCCAGGCTGGAGTGCAGTAGTGTGATCAAAGCTCACTGCAGCCTTGAACTCCTGGGCCCAAAGGATCCAATTGCCTGAACCTCCTGAGTCTATAGGCATATGCCACCATACAGCTAATTTTTTTTTTTTTTAAGTTTTTGTAGAGATAGGGTCTTGCTGTGTTGCCAAGGCTGGTCTCCAAGTTCTCTCTCTTGTCAAGTGAACCTCCCACCTTGGTTCCTTAAAATGCTGGGATTACAGGCATGAGCCACTGGGCCTGACTGAGAATTTTTATTTATTTATTTATTTATTTATTTTTATAATTACTGAGTGTTGGATTTTGTCCAATCAACTTTTAGAACATTTCCATCACATATCTGTTGCAATTAGTCCCTGCTCTCTTGCACAGCCCCAGGCAAACACTGATCTTTCTGTCTCTTTAGATTTCCTTTTCTGAATATTTTGTAGGAACAGAATTATATAATATGTGTATAATATGTAGTCTTCTGTGTCTGGCATAATGTTTTGAAGGTTTATTTGTGTTATAGCATACATCATTTATTCTTTTTTATTGCAAAACAATATTCCATTGGATGGATATATCACATTTTCTTCATCCATTCACCAGTTGATGGGCATTTAGATTGTTTCCAGTTTTCTTTTTTTCTTTTTTATTTTATAGATGCAGGGTTTCGCCATGTTGGCCAGGCTGGTCTCGAACTCCTGGCCCCAAGTGATCTGCCCGCCTTGGCCTTCCAAAGTGCTGGGATTATAGGCGTGAGCCACTTCGCTCGTCCTGTTCCAGTTTTTGACTGTTATGAATAATGCCACTATAAACATTTGTGTACAGGTTTTTCTGCGGTCGTATGTTTTCATTTTTCTTTATTTCTTTTTTTTTTTTTTTTTTTTGTTTTGAGACGGGGTTTCGCTCTCGCCCAGGCTGGAGTGTAGTGGTGTGATCTCCGCTTACTGCAGCCTCCACCTCCCAGGTTCAAGCAATTCTTCTGCCTCAGCCTCCTGAGCAGCTGGGATTACAGGCTTACGCCACCACACCCAGCTAATTTTTGTATTTTTATTAGAGACAGGGTTTCACCATGTTGGCCAGACTGGTCCTAAACTCCTGACCTCAAGTGATCCGCCTGCCTCGGCCTCTCAAAGTGCTGGGATTACCATCGCGCCCGGACACATTTATATGTTTTCTTTGGTTAAATATCTCTTCAAATCTTTTGCCCATTTTTAATTGGGTTGTCTTATTGATGTGTAAGAATTCTTTAATCTGGACACAAGTCCTTTTTTAGATATGTGATTAGAAGTACTTTCTCTTAGCCTGTGGCGTGTCTTTTTACTTTCTTTATAAGGTATCTTTTGAAGAGTAGAACTTTTAAGTTTTGATGAAACTTACTTTATTATTATTTTTTAATAGGTCATGATTTTGTGATATCTAAGAAATATTTGCCTAACCTATGGTCATAACGATTTTTTTGAGAAATTTTACATTTATGTTTATGATTCTCTTTTTTTCCCCTTCGTTTTTTCTTTTCTTTTCTTTTCTTTTCTTTTCTTTTCTTTTCTTTTCTTTTCTTTTCTTTTCTTTTCTTTCTTTTTTTTCTTTCTTGAGATGGTGTCTTGCTCTGTCACCTAGGCTGGAGTGTAGTGGTGTGATCATGGCTCACTTCAGCTTCGACCTTCCAGGCTCAAGTGATCCTACTTCAGCCTCACCATGCCTGGCTATTTAAAAAAAATTTTTTTTTTTTTTTGTAGAGATGGGGTCTCACTATGGTGCCCAGGATGGTCTCGATCCTCCCGTCTCAGCCTCCCAAGGTACAATTAGCCACTGTGCCTGGCCTATGATTCTGTTTTTTTTTTTTTTTTTTTGAGATGGAGTCTCGCTCTGTCACCCAGGCTGGAGTGCAGTGGCACGATCTCGGCTCACTGCAGTCGCCCCCTCCTGGGTTCAAGCGATTCTCCTGCCTCAGCCTCCCGAGTAGGTGGGATTATAGGTGGGATTACAGGCCCGTGCCACCATGCTCAACTAACTTTTGTATTTTTAGTAGAGACGGGGTTTTACCATGTTGGTCAGGCTAGTCTTGAACTCCTGACCTCAAGCAATCCACCCACCTCAGCCTCCCAGAATGCTAGGATTGTAGGTGTGAGCCACCGCACCCGGCCCTATGATTCATTTTGAATTATTTTTTTTTTGCATATGAATATTCGGTTGTTTTAGCATCAGTTGTTGAAAAGACTATCCTTTTTCCATTGAATTGCATTGGCACCTTTGTTAAAATCAGTTGACATGTCAGTGTTTCACTGATCTATATGTCCATCCTTATAGCAATACCACAATGGTTCTATTTCGGTAGGTTTATAGTTAGTTTTTTCCTCTAAATCAGGCACTGTTAGTCTTCTAACATTGTTCTTCTTTTTCAGACAATTTTTTAGATATTCTGTCTTGAATTTCCATAGAAATTTTAGAATCAGATTATCACTTTGTACAGAAGTCTGCTGAGATTTTGATAGGGATTGTGTTGAATCTGTAGATCAGTTTGGGAAGAATTGACATCCTGCCAATTTTTGAACATGGTGTATCTCTTTATTTAGCTCTACTTTCTCTCAGTAATGCTTTGTAGTTTTCATTGTATAGGTCTTGCACCTTAAAAAATTATTCTTATTTTTGATGTTACTGGGAATGCTATGATTTTCTTTGAGGTTTGTTTGTTTTTTTTTTGATATTATTATACTATGTGTGGAACCCTGCGTTGGGGAATATCCTCCTGCAACTACCAAATGTGACTGTAGTGAGCAAAGTCCTTCCTGGTTCTTCTCAGTAGTCTTTTTGTGGTCGTGCAGAAGAACCACCATATCCTGACTAATTGAGATGCAGACAGCTTAAGTTGTGAGAAAAGCTAGAATTCCAAAAGGAAGTGCTGTGACATAGTTTTCTTCATGTGTCACCATGACTTGTGTTCAGCTACGTACACTGAAAGGATGAATCTAGGAGTCCAGATTGTTGCTATAATGAAGACATTAAAAACCCGGAGCTGACAGATCACATGATGCAGTATTAGCATGTGCCAGAGGCTCAGTGGCCATTTTTTTCTTAAATACATGTGTGCATATACGTATGAATGTGTATGAATCTCTGTGTGCCAAACGCATTGTCTCCAGGTAACTATGAGTGGGCCACCCTAATCCAAGTTATGAGGTCAACAGTTTTGATTTGTGGCTCCAAAGCTCCCTTTTTCCTCCAGGGGGTGAAAAGCCCCCTCTACTTTGTCTTGTATTTATCTCTCTAAAAGAAAATCTACAGCATTTAATATACTTTAATTTTGTGGTTTATGTAACTAATTACATTTGGTATAAATGAATTTAACTGGGGTTTTATATTTTTCAGTTTTTGTCTTATTAAATCAGGAAATGCTATCACCTTTTAAGGGAATTTCAGGTACCTGGTGCTGGTGGTTGGAGAGGACAGGAAGCCCCCCATCACTCTAGCAGTACACTCAAGGTGAATCCTCGAAGTGTGCTTGTGTTGTCAGGAGGGCCATCAGGACGGCCATTCCCTGTGTTTCCCTTGTGAAGAGTGCCATGGTGGAGACTTGCCCAGCTACAGGTCACCTCAGACACTGCTGGTGGGAGAGTAGGAAACTCTTCCTAGCCTCCATCTTCTTCTTAGACTGGCACTGGCTTGCTGCACCAGGGCATGAATAGGACTCCCAGCCTTCACACTTCTTTTTGCCCCTCCTCCCATCTTTCCTACCTGGTCTTAGGTTTTAGGTTTTCTTTCCCTGTTTAGCTTCACAGATTGTATTTTATATTTACTGGCACCTTTGGCAATATTCTCATGAGGAGTTAAGGATACGTTTATACAGGATGAGTTTTTCTAAAGTACTTGTTTTTTTACAAATCCTGATGTCCAAGTGCCTTTTATTTGGTGTCTGCCTCTGGCAGATGGCGTTTTTTCAATGGAGTGAGCCATTTGGAGGAGGCAGTCTCCTGTCTTAGAAATGTTGCTTTCTGGGTAAATTGCTTTGTGAGGTTGTTTTTGTTCAGAAGCCTCGGTTGGTGCTGGTTCTGGGTATAGTTACTTGGGGCTTGAGATATTTCATGTAGTTACTTAAAGCAGATGAATTCAGCTCTGTGGGTTTATCAACCATAATGTGGTAGTATGTTCTTTCCTCAGATATTTCTCAAATATTTTTGCCTTTGAAATTTCTTTTGTAGATACAGATTATGGTTCTCTTAGGACTAGCTTTCATTTGCAACTATTTTCTATAATTATACATGCATTTCTTTAATAAATATCTTTGTGAAAGAGGAAATGTAATAAAGATATATCAAGGTTGAATGCTATTATTTATTTTTCAATTTTGTTTTGCTTTTAGGAGAAACTGGCTCTTCGACAGCAGTTGAATGAAGCGAAGCAGCAACTCCTGCAGCAGGCAGAGTATTGTACAGAAATGGGAGCAGCAGCGTGTACCCTCTTGTGGGGTGTCTCCAGCAGTGAGGAAGTCGTCAAGGCCATTTTGGGAGGAGTAAGTATGGTCAGTGGGCTCTCCAGATATTGTTGATTACTGCTTGTGTAAATTAGAGCATATAGCTTATTAAGGCATTTAAAGACTAAGTCCATATCTTTCCATTTTCTTTTGTTCACTCATCAGCTAGTTATTGAATACTTATCGTATATGGTTCATTGTAACCTGATGCAAAGGGAATGAAATAAGATCCCTTCTCTCCAGGAGACCTTGTGGTATATGTGGACATATTACCACTTCAGTATTAATACTTTACATGTGTTTAAGAAGATCAAAAGTGCTTTTATATATATTATCTCATGGTTAATATAGTATTTATTGAATATTGTGTTATCTAACATATATACATGTATGTAGATGTGTGTGTGTGTTTATACATACACACACACACACATACATATAGATGCAGAACCTTGAGCAACATGGAGGTTGGAGGCGCTGACCCCCTGCACAGTCGAAAAGCCACATAGAACTTTTGACTCTCTCTACTGTTGGCTGGAAGCCTTACTGACAACATAAATCGTTGATTAACACATTTTTTGTATGTTAGATCATCATGAAGGTCTTCCCCCTCATCATCTTCAAATTGAGTAGGCTGAAGAGGAGGAGGAAGAGGAGTGGTTGGGTTGGCATTGCTGTCTAAAGGGTGGTAGAGGTGGAGGAGGTGGAAGGGGAGGCTGGAGCAGCAGACACACTTGGTGTAACTTTTACTGAAGAAAATTCTTGTGTAAGTGGACCTGTGCAGTTCAAACCCTTGTTTTCAAGGTTCAACTGTGTGTGTGTGTGGCAGCGTGTGTGTGTGAGCATGTGTGTTTGAGCATGTGCATGTGTGTGTGACTGTGTGTGTGTGTGGGAGCATGTGTGTGTGGGGGAGTGTGTGTGTGTGGGGGGGGAGCGTGTGTGTGTGGGAGCGTGTGTGTATGGGAGCATGTGTGTGTGGGGGAGTGTGTGTGTGGGAGCGTGTGTGTGTATGTGGGAGCCTGTGTGTGTGTGTGGGGGGAGCGTGTGTGTGGGGGAGTGTGTGTGTGTGTGTGTGAGCCTGTGTATGTGGGATCGTATGTGTGTTTGTGTGGGGGAGCATGTGTGTGTGTGGGGGAGCGTGTGTGTGTGAGACTGTGTGAGTGTGTGTGTGGGAGCGTGTGTGTGTTTGGGGGAGCGTGTGTGTGGGGAGAGCGTGTGTGTGTGTGGGAGCGTGTGTATGTGGGAGCGTGTGTGGGGGGGGAGCGTGTGTGTGTGTGGGAGCATGTGTGTGTATGTGGGAGCCTGTGTGTGTGGGAGTGTGTGTGTGGGGAGCGTGTGTGGGGGGGGAGTGTGTGTGCCTGTGAGCCTGTGTATGTGGGATCGTGTGTGTGGGAGCGTGTGGGTGTGTGGGAGCATGTGTGTGTGTGGGAGCGTGCACACGCACATGTATGCATGCGTGCAGGCATTTGTCAGGGAACTTCACAGAAGGGGATAAATTTGAAATGGGCCTTGATGAATAGGTAGAAATGGCAGAAAATGGGTGGGTTTGTTTTAGGACAGTGAGTAGGTCAGTTGACACAGTGGAGAGTTAATGTCATAGAGTAGTGGGGAGGTAAAGCTTAAACGTAGGTTGGGATGTGACTTTGGGACCTTGAATACCAGGTTGGTGATTCATTCTGTAGGTGGGAAGACTGGATTTTCCCTAAGGGTTTTTCAATAAAAGTGATAGGATAAGAGCAGAATTTTAGAAAGATTCACCTGACAGTGGGTGAGGATGGATTAGGAGGTGGAGTTGTGGCACATCGCGTCTACACAGGATGACTGATGAGGTGGTCATTCTAGCTGGTCTGGCTGGAGTGAGCTCGGCCCTCTGCAGGGGAGATGGGAAAGAAGGAACATGTATGAGAGCTGTGGCAGTTGAGGCAGATGCGATGGCCGGGCAGAGTGGGCACCTGGAGGGGACAAGAGGAGCCAAAAAAGATCGGTGTTTGACTCTGGGAGCATGGCGTGATCATGACTGGAAATGAAGGTGAAGAGGGGGACGTGTGGCAGGAAACCAGTGAGAAATTAGTTACTGCTAATAGAAATAACAGTTGTGTTTGACTTTAGGTGGAAAGACTAAATGTGTTTTTAAAAGTTTGTTGAGCTTTATTAGGTTTAATTTACATACTGTAAGATTGTAAATGTACAATTTAGTGGTTTTTAGCAAATTTTTAGAGTTGCATTAACCATCACCACAACCCAGTTTTAGATTATTTGATCATCCATGAAGTTTTCTTATATCATTTGTAAATGCAAATATTTCCAATTTTTTAACTGGGTTAAAATGTACATTGGTTTTAAAATTCTTCTTCAGAACTCTAGCACCCCAAAGGAAGTAACTCAAAGGTTCAAACTTGGAAATGCTTTTTGCCAAGTGATGAAGATTTAAACTACCAGAGGAGCCAGTCTTTACCTCTTTTACATGTTTTCATTAAGATTTTTTTTTTTGAAAAAAGTTATGCTAAAGGTTTGAACACCTCTGGTTTAATGCCCAGAGCAAATAGGCAGCATGTTTTTCTAGTATATTTTTATTACATTTTGAGTGAATTCTTCCCATTTACTTTCATCATCATGTACATTTGTCCTATATCATATTTATGCGTGTGAAGAGTCCACCAATCTTCAGGGTAGTTTTTGTTGCTCCTGCATGCCTCAAGCTGCTTTCTCTGTTCTTTTAATGGGAACTTTTAATGAGGGAATAGATTTTACAATATTCTACAATTAAAACTAGAATCTTCTGTATCCTGCACTTTTAAAATGTTTTCACACTAGTGTCTGTAAAAAGATATGACACTCTGATTTTCAAACTTTCAGGATAAAGCTTTGAAGTTTTTCAGCATCACTGGTCAAACAATGGAGAGTTTTGTGAAGTCGTTAGACGGTGATGTCCAGGAGCTGGATTCGGATGAAAGTCAGTTTGTTTTCGCTCTGGCTGGAATTGTCACGAGTAAGTGCAGGCGCACCTGAGAGATGTTGCCTGTTTGCTTCCAGACCACTGCAGTAAAGCAAATACTGCAATAATACATGAGTCACATGAATGTTTTTGGTTTCCCAGTGCATATACAAATTATGTTTACACTATACTGTAGTCTGTTGTATGTACAATAGCATTATGTCTAAAAAATGTACAAACTTTAATTAGAAAATTCATTATTGCTAAAAATGCTAATGATCATCTGAGCCTTCAGCAAGTTACAATTTTTTGCTGGTAGAGGGTCTTGCCGTGATATTGATGACTGCTAACTGATCAGGGTGGTAGTTACTGAAGGTTGGGGTGGCTGTGCCAATTTCTTAAAATAAGGAACAATGAAGTTTGCCACATTGATTAATTCTTCCTTTCATGTAAGATTTCTCAGTAGCATGTGATGCTGTTTGATAGCATTTTTTCCACAGTAGAACATCTTTCAAAATTGGAGTCAGCCCTCTCAAACCTTACTGCTGCTTTGTCAACTAAGTTTATGTAATATTCTGAATCTCTTGTTCTTATTTCAACAATGTCTTAGCATCTTCACCAAGAGTAGATTCCATCTCAAGAAACCACTTTCTTTGTTCTTCCATAAGAAGCAACTTATCCTTTTTTTCTGCCACCACGTCTGTAGTTACTTACTCCACTGAAGTCATGAACCCTTCAAAGTCATCCATGAGGATTGAAATCAACTTCTTCCGAACTCCTGTTAATGTTGTTATTTTGACCTCCTCCCATGAATCATGAATATTCTCTTGTTGCCCAGGCTGGAGTGCAACGGCGTGATCTCGGCTCACTGCAGCCTCCACATCCTGTATTTAAGTGATTCTCCTGCCTCAGCCTCCCAAGTAGCTGGGATTACAGGCATGCGCCACCATGCCCAGCTAATTTTGTATTTTTAGTAGAGATGGGGTTTCTCCATGTTGGCCAGGCTGGTCTTGAACTCCTGACCTCAGGTGATCTGCCCACCTCAGCCTCCCAAAGTGCTGGGATTATAGGCATGAGCCACTGCGCTTGGCTGAATCATGAATATTCTTAATGGCATCTAGAATGGTGAATCCTTTTTAGAAGGTTTTCAGTTTACTTCACCCAGATCCATCAGAGGAATCACTGTCTATGGCAGCTGTAGCGTTATGAAATGTAGTTCTTAAAAAAAATAGGACTTGAAAGTTGAAATTTCTTTTTGATATATGAGCTGAAGAATAGGTATTGTATTAGCAGGCATGGAGTCAACATTACTTTCCTTGTACCTCTCCATCATGGCTCTTGATTGACCAGGTGCATTGTCAATGAACAGTAGTGTTTTGAAAGAAATCTTTTTTTCTGAGCAGTAGGTCTCAACAGTGGGCTGAAAATATTCAGTAAACCATGCTGGAAACAGGTGTGCTGTCATCCAGGCTTTGTTTTTCTATTTCTAGAGCATAGGCAAGAGTAGATTTAGCATAATTCTTAAGGGCTCTAGGATTTTCAGAATGGTTAAATGAGCATTGGCTTCAATTAAAGTCACCCGCACCATTGGCCCCTAACAAGAGAGTCAGCCTGTCTTTTGATGCTTTGAAGCCAGGCATTGACTTTTCTCTAGCGGTGAAAGTCCTAGATGGCGTCTTCTTCCAATAGAAAGCGACTTTGTCTACATTGAAAATCTCTTGTTTAGTGTAACCACCCTCGGCAGTGATCTTAGCTAGATCTTCTGGATAACTTGCTGCAGCTTCTCCATCAGCACTTGCTGCTGCACGTTGTTTTTATGTTATGGAGACAACTTCTTTCCTTAAACCTCATGAAGCAACCTGTACTAGCTTCCAGCTTTTCTTCTGCAGCTTCCTTACCCCTGTCAGCCTTCACAGAATTGAAGAGCATTGGGGCTTTTCTCTGAATTAGGCTTTGGCTTAAGGGATTTTTGATGATTTTTGATCTTCTGTCTAGAATACTTGGGCTTTCTCCATATCAGCAATAAGGCTGTTTTGCGTTCTTATCATTCATGTGTTCACTGGAATAGAGCTTTTAATTTCTATCGAGAACTTTGCATTTGCAGTCATAACTTGGCTGTTTGGCACAAGAGGTCTAACTTTCAGCAGGTCTCAGCTTTGGCCATGCCTTCACTAAGCTTAATCATTTCTAGCTTTTGCTTTCAGATATGTATCTTTTCCTTTTGCTTGAACATTTAGAGGTCATTGTAGGGTTATTAACTGTCCGAATTTCAGTATTGTTGTGTCTCAGGGAATAGCAAGTTCCTAGGAGAGGGAGAGAAACGGGAATGGCCAGTCATTGGAAAAATCAGAAGATAAGTAGCATGTATTGATTAAATTTGCTGTCTTACATGGGTGTGGCTCATGGTGCCCTAAAACAATTACAGTGGTAACATCAAAGATCATTGATCACAGATGACCATAACAGATGTAATAATAATGAAAAAGTTTCAACTATTGCAAGAATTACCAAAATGTGACACAGAGACATGAATTAAGCACACACTGTTGGAAAAATGGCACCAACAGACTTGCTCAATGTAGGGTTGCCACATTCCTTCAATTTGTAAAAAAACAGTATCTGCAAAGCACAATAAAGTGAATGCAATAAAACGAAATGTGCCTGTAATTCTTTTCAGCTGTAGTGACTGTTACAGAGACTGGTGTTTACAGTCAGGGTTGAGAGTGTGTAAACATCTCTCAGGAGTGTTTTCAGATATTAATGCTGGGGAGCACCCTGGATAATCTGATTCCATAGTTCTGGGATAGGTACCGGGTATGTTTATTTTGGAAAATCACCCCAGGTGATTCTGATAAGTATCAGTTATTAAGAATGAATGATCTGAAGGAAACAGATGAGTTTGCATGTTCTGTGTAGTTATGTACCTTGACAGAAAAAAACAAGTAAGTTTAGCTGCTTTTATTCAGAATCATAATTTTACTGTCTGGCTAGCTAAAGTAAAAGCCTTAAGCTAAGCTTAAGCTGAGCTCTTTGCTGTTGTTTTAGTATAATAATTATATAATTCCAAAAACCTAAATTGCCTCTTCAGTAAAATTCTCCTAAAAGATAATAAAGTAAACCTTTCCCTGAGAGTTATGATAAAATTCCGTCTCAGAACTATCATAAGGGATAAAGTCCAGGAACTAAATAATTTCTCAGTATAGAAGCAAGGCATGGTGGCTTACGCCTGTAATCCCAGCATTTTGGGAGGCTTGAGGCGGGTGGATCATTTGAAGTCAGGAAGAATTCGAGACCAGCCTGGCCAACATGGGGAAACCTGTCTTTATTAAAATACAAAAAAATTAGCCAGGCGTGGTGGCGCACACCTGTAATCCCAGCTACTCAGTAGGCTGAGGCAGGAGAATTGCTTGAACCTGGGAGGTGGAGGTTGTAGTGAGCTGAGATCGTGCCACTACACTCCACCCTGGGTGACAGAGCAAGACTCCGTCTCTTAAAAAAAAAAAAAAAATTTCTTGGTATAGAAAGAGGTGGAATGTACTAGTGAGTATTGAGGCTCTTTGTTCTGAAGTCAGTGAAATGGTTCAATACATTGCTGTGACTTATCAGCCTTAACGAGATTCAGAAAATATGACTAAGTACAGAGTTTATTTGTGCACAGAGCTTGACGGTGGCCACTCAGAAACACCAACTTCAAACCAGTGGGGTCAGGGTTCCAAAGTGAAGAAGATATCACTGATATAGGCAGAGACAGAGAAGTTCCAGCAGGATTAGAACATTTTCCATACAAGACCAGTGTGTGTGCCACAGTGATTTGACTGTTTATAGATTGCTACATTCCAAGGAGGGTTATCTGAGGAAGTCTTATCTTCAGCAGTTTGGTCTTAATTATTTACAGGAAAGAAAAATGCAGAATTTGCAGCCGCATATCTACATTCCTCACAATGGTTGGGATAATTTAAAGTCCCAACAGCTTTAAGTTTGAATTATTTAATTTCAGACTTTTTTTTTTACATTGATCTTTAATCTCTGCTTTATTTGCTTTATTATTTTCCCATGCTGTTCTTAGGAAAATTCTCTGCTGTTAAAGTGAGAGAAAATTTTATTTTTCTTTTGGTGTTATTCTTTTATTGAAATCCTAATGGGGTAGGTCTGTGTAGACATTTGTTTCTTAATCCTTTAAAACTTGATGATAGTTCTTGCGGGGTGGATGCTGAGACTGTGATGTTTTCTGGCTATTCCTTACTCCAGTGCAGGGCAGCATTCTATACGTTCATCATGGCACCTACAGTTGTAGCAGGCTTGCATTGCCCTCCCTTTAAAAACATTGTTTGAAGGTTGTCTTTTAACAGAAGGCATTTGCAAATTAAATAATTTGCGTTTTCTTCTCTTTGCAAGTGACCCCAAAGGCGTATGACCTATGTGACTTGTCATGTTGCTGGTTGTGAATCTGAGCTGCCTGAATTGCTGGCTGACATGCTGGTGAGGCAGTGGGCTGTGAGTGAAGCCGCCCTGTTGCCCAGCATTCAAGCTCAGCGCGGCTGTTTTCCTGTGTTTGTGGTGGTTTACATAGGAACTCTTATGAAGAGTTGGATAGTGGGCACTTATATTTGCATGTTAATGAATTTGACTGGGAAGAATATTTTATTAAAGTGCTGATTTGCAGAGGCTTGGGGGCTTATGAGTCTCAAATACCAAGACTATCCTGTGGGGATAGGTAATAGAGACCATGGGTTAGCTCTCAAATGGATCCTTTTCCTTCTGAAACAAATGTTCTTTTTAAAATTTTACATACAGTGAATTCATTCTTTAGTTTTTTTTTTTAAACCTTTTTGCAGTTCTGTAAATTTCTACAAAAGTATACAGTCATTTACCCACCACAATTAGGTTGTGGAACTAATTCCTTCCCCCAGACTTCCTGCACGCCATCCTTCTGTAGTCCAGTTCTCCACTCATCACCAGCCCAAGGCAACCACTGATTTTGTGATTTGTTCAGTATTTTAGCTGGGGTTTTTTTATTTTTTATTTTTTTTGCTGCCTTGTATGGTGTCCAGCATATGCCCCAGGTGAGCAAGTGCTTGCTTCATGTATCTGCTTGGAGGCTGTTGTCTTTCGTCATTTTTCAGATTGGTTGGCTGATGTCCAGCCTTAGCTCTCTAATGTGTTCAAGAAGACCTGTGATTTTGGTAAATTATCTCTCCCTCTGCCCCCGGAAAGAATGGGGTAGCTGTTACCAGTTTTCTGTATCCTAAGCTAAAGCTGGAAATCAGAAATTTATTTAAACCTTGAAATTGTTAAATTTCTACTCAACTGTAGTCACTGTTCTTTAATGATAGGTTAGTGTAGTGCAGAGGTTTGGCTCAGTGAATCTACTTCCCAGGATGTCAGTTCTCTGGACATCTGTAAGGTGGAATAGTAACATCTGCTCTTATTACTTTACATATTGTGAATTTTCTACTGAACCGTAGTAAATGATAGCACATTGATATCAATGTGATTGTTTCCAGTAACTTGGATAAGAGGGCAAATGAAGAGTGTGAAAGAGACGGAAATCTTCACAGTCCTGTGAAGATTAACTGCTTAACTTCCTAGTGAAATCTTTTAAATGCTTTTTCTGCTTTTCAGTGATTTGAAAATCATGATTGTACTCCTTGTCTCTGGTTTATGTATTCAAATAATGTTAGATAATAATTGCAGCATCAAAATTACTTTTTGATGATTGATAATTTGGGGGCAGGACTGGATCCAGCTTAGTCTTCCAGGGACCTTCCTAGTTACACAAAGTTACCAGCAGAGCACCTTTGTGTCAGTGACCGTGGCTGCTCTTGGCCTGCCAATCCCTCCTCCTCCACACGCTCACACCAACACATGGAGGCAGTGTGGCGTGCAGAAAAGGCCAGGTGGGGCTTGAGGCCTCATGTCCATTGCTGCTTCTGCCACTGACTAACCCTGTATTCTTGAATATATGACCTTCGGTTTTTGTCTTCTGAGAAGAGTCTGACACTAGATGACAATTATGGTATCCCAGTCCTAGAATTGTGTGACTCTGCATGTGGAAGAATAAGGTGCCAGTTTTGAGCTTAAACTTACTGGTCTTCTGTTGTCAGAGTCTAAGTCAGCAGTGAAGGGTCAATAAACAGGCATTTGGGTTGTTTCCACCTTTTGACTGTTATGGATAATGCTGATACGAGCATTTGTGCAGAAGTTTATGTGTGGATGTATGTTTCAGTTTTTCTGGGTATCTACCTCGGGGTGGAATAGCAGGGTGTAGTAACTCTGTTTAGCTTTTTGAGGAACTGCCAGACAGGTTTCCACAGTGACTGTACCATTTTATGTGCTGGTGGCTCCCTTTCCCCATGTCTTCAGAACAGCCCATCTTTTTCTAGGTGTGCAGGAGTCCTTGTTGCTGTTTTTGGTTCTTTGAGCACCCATTTGTTTCTCATGTACCTTGATCTCTAGGAGAGATCATTAGCATTGTCCTGTTTCCCCCATTGTGGTTGAACCTCCTGAAAGGTGAGGTTAGTTTGGAGAGAGTTGATTTACAACTTGAGCACTGATCAACATTATTTTTTCGTCTTTTTTTTGCGGAATCACCTGTTGAATCATCTGTCAGGACAATAGCTGAACAGAAACTTTTAATGCAACAGGTAGCAAACAAATATAATTTGAGGCACTATAAGAAGGAAGACCACTCTGGAACCTTGACCCAGGTGACTTCATCACCAGCCTTGTATTGACTCTGTACTTTTAAGATGAGACCCTCTTAACAAACAGCATAAAGTCAGGCTTTGGTATGGGAGTGTCGTCTACAAGATCTCTTCTGGGCATGGACACTTGTTGGACTACGGAGATAACCTTGAGGCTCTCGAGGTTTCATTAATTTTC
This sequence comes from Homo sapiens, assembly GCF_000001405.40. Taxonomy (NCBI): domain Eukaryota; kingdom Metazoa; phylum Chordata; class Mammalia; order Primates; family Hominidae; genus Homo; species Homo sapiens. The sequence continues at coordinate 43,623,493 of NC_000021.9, read as the reverse complement.
TGCATTTTTTAGTTTTAATTTCATGTATTTATGGTCTGATCTTTATTATTTCTTTCCTTCTAGTATTTTTGAGTTTAGTTTGTTCTTTTCTATTTCCTTGGTGCATCATTAGATTGTTTATTTGGAGTCATTCTACTTTTTTGATACAGGCATTTATTGCTATAAACTTCCCTCTTAGTATCGCTTTTGCCATGTCCTAGAGATTTTGGTATGTTGTTTTTCCATTTTCATTTGTTTCAAGAAAATTTTAAATTTCTTCCCAATTTTTTCATTGACGCATTTGGTTGTTCAGGTGTATGTTGTTTAATTTCCATGTGTTTATATAGTTTCTGAGGGTCCTCTTGCTATTAATTTCTAGTTTTATTGTATTGTGGTCAGAAAAGATACCTGAGCTGGGCATAGTGGCCCATGCCTGTAATCCTAGCACTATGAGAGACTCAGGTGGGAGGACTGCTTGAGGTCAGGAGTTTCAGACGAGCCTGGGCACATGGCAAGATCCTATCTCTACGAAAAAAAAAAAAAAGCTGTTTGATATGATTCTACTTTTTGAATTTGTTGAGACTTGTTTTGTGGTATAAGATGTTGTCTGTAATGGAGAATGTTCCATATGCTGATGAAAAGAATGTATATTCTGTAACAGTTGGGTGAAATGTTCTGTAAAGATTCAGGTCTATTTGGTCTAGTGTGTAGTTTACCTCTGATGTTTCTTTGTTGATTTTTTTTTGGTCTGGACCATCCGGCCATTACTGAGAGTGGAATGTTGAAGTCTCTACTGTTATTGTACTGCAGTCAATTTCTCCCTTTAGATTTATTAATGATTGATTTATATACTTGGATAATGCTGTGTTGGGTGCATAGATATTTACAATTGTTATATCCTCTAGCTGAGTTGGTCCATTTTTCATTATATAGTGACTTGGTCTCTTTTCACAGTCTTTGACTTGTAGTCTATTTTGTCTGATATAGATGTAGCTACTCCTGTTTTTTTTGGTTTCCAGTTGCATAGATATCTTTTTCCACCCTTCACTTTCAGTCTGTATGTGCCTTTATGGGTGAAGTGGGTTTCTTGTAGGCAGCATGTAGTTAAGTCTTGTTTCTTTCCATTCAGCCACTCCATATTTCTTTTAATTAGAAAATTGAATCTGTTTATATTCAATGTTACTATCGATAAGTAAGGACTTATTACTGCTAATTTGTTGCTTGTTTCCTGGTTGTTTTGTAACTCCTCTTCTTTTTTCTTGCTTTCTTACTGTCATCCTTTATGGTTAAGTGATTTTCTCTGGTGTGTTTTAGTTCATTGCTTTTTATTTTTAGTGCATCTATTACAGATTTTTGCTTTGTGGTTACCATGAGGCTTACAAAAAAATCTTTAGATATAACAGGTTATTTTAAAGAGATGACTTATCTTTGATCACAAAAAATAATAGA